>NC_000023.11:87007996-87311026 GCF_000001405.40 Homo sapiens
AAATAAGTGTCAAGTTAGAATTCTATATCTAAGGAAAATGCCTTTCAAGTAGGAAGACAGTTTATAGATATTTTTTAGAAAAAGAAATCTTGATAAAATGTACCCCCACTACACCTACATTAAAATAAATCTCTAAGCTACTTCTTCTGGCATAAGAGACAAAGATAACTGTTTGAAATTAAGATCTACATGTATGAATAAAGATTACTTGAAATGATAAGTACATGGGTAAATATAAGACTGTTTCCCTTCTTTTCACAGATTCTTTGATTCCTACTAGAGCCAATAAGTAAGTTCAGCAAGGTCAAAAATACAAGATCTTCACATTCTATTTTTATAGAGTAGAAAAGAATAACTGGAAATGAAAACTTTTTAAATTGCAATACACAATAGTATTGAAATACTATGGAATACATAGGAAAAAATCTGTCAATACATGTTCAAGATTTGTGTGATGGAAACTGTTAAACACTGATGAGAGAAATTAAAAGAAAACTAAATAAATGGAGAAATATGCTCTCTTCATGTAATAGAAGACTCAATAATGTTAGCAAGTGCATCTTCCCTAAATTGATCTATAGATTTAAGTCTACTCCAATAAAAACATTATGAGGTATTTTTTGAAGAAATTGACAAAATTGTTCTAAAAAATTTACATGTAAAAAACAAATTATCTTAAATAGCCAAGACCATTTGAATAATATGTGAAAAGTAGCTCAAGCTCTATAGTTTCAAGACATATTATAAAAGTATGACAATAAAGAAAGTGTAGCATTAGCATAAGTAGAGACAAAGAGATAATTGATAAACATACAAAGTCTAGAAGTAGACCTTTTCCATATACCGTGAATTAATTTATAACAAAGTTAGCAAGGTAGTTCAAAGGGAAATGACTAGTTTTTCAAATAATTTGTGTTGAGAATGATATCAGCAAAGATGGCTGACTAGTGTTTTCTGTTTCTAGTCCACCCCCACAAAAAGTAAGTAAAACAATGTATATTTTGACAGAAGTGACGGAAGAATTGTGCCAGAGAGCACCAGGAGAATAGCAAAATGCCTGTGGAGCACAAAATCTCAGGATAGCTTCATAGGGATGGGAGCAACTCATCCTGCCTCTGCCACACTCTCTCCCCCACCAGGATCATATTGGAGCTGTAGGACCTCTTTTTTATAGAAATAAAGGTAAGCTGGAGACCCTTAGCATTCTCTATCACTGACGCAGATGCCAGTAGTCACTTCTACAGGAAGGTCCTTCAATCCTCACAGTCCCCAAGTCCAGTGTGAACAGTTACTGGGACTCCATGCAGCTGCACTCCTTAAAAGCAGGAACCTTCTTAACACCCCCACATTACAACCTAAGTGACTATGACACAGAATCCCCTTGAAACTGGACCCATATCTAGAGTGCATTCTACCTGTGGGGGGGCAGAGGGGGGCAGTAGCCACCAAACCACTCTGTGTAAAGCACCACTTTCATTTCACTACATTTACATAGGTGATTACAGCACCAATAGTCCAGCTGCCTAAAGCCCAGGCCCAAATGAATGACTGGAATGTCAATGCCCAAACTCACAAGGAACCTGATCATCCAGAGAAACAGGCAGACCTGAACAGCAGAAAGGCCTTTTTCATCCATTGAGTCAGTGTGCACCTACTCCTGTTTTTATATCCAACCAGAGACAACCCCAGACCACCACAGTGTCCCACACAGCCTCTGTGCCTGAACATTCCCAGCCCCAGCTTTAAAGAAGATCTGGAAGTTGTCCTACCCAACAAGATAGAAATCTTTCTCAGCTACCCAATTCATGTATACATGCCCCCAGCCCAACAGCCAGCTCAACAGTGACCTTACCATTCAGGACAGACCTATACACAACCCACTGGCATGCCACAATCACACGTGACTGACAATCAGTCCAGTGCCCCCACTAACAACAAAACTACATAACCACAGCAACAAACTACTGTAGTCTAGGACATTGAGAAAATTGCAGCCATCTCAGGGAAGAATTACAGCCAAAGAATTTGTATGGAGACCATGCTGCTGAGTTTACTCAGAACTAAAACTGATATAGCATTCCCAACCAACACCCTAGGACCCTTCTACAGGAAAAAGCCTCTTGCTACAAAAGTTACTCCATAAAATTGGAAAAAAAATACCACTTTTTTCCTGGATAAATAGATATCAACACAGGGACAAAAGAAATATTTAAAAAGCAAGTAAATGTGACTTATGCAAAGAAGCAATATAAGTCCCTAGTAAAAAATTCCAAAGAAAAGGATGTTTGTAAAATGCCTGAAAAATAATTCAAAATAAAAATCTTGAGAAAACTCAGAAAGATATAAGAGAATACAAACAATACAGTGAAATTAGAAAAACAATTCATAATCTAAATTAGAAATTCAACAAAGAGATGGCTCATAAAAAGAACCAAACAAAAAACTTGCAGCTAAAGAATTCAATGACAAAAAAATGAAAAATACAATTGAGAGGTTCAACAACAGACTAAATCCAGCAGAAGGAAGAATATAAAAGCCAAGAAGCCTTATGGGACACAATTAAGTGGACAAATATTTGTATTATAGGGGTGCCTGAGAAAGAAGAAATAGCAGAAGGCATAGAAAATTTATATAATAAAATAGTAGCTGAAAAGTTCCCAAGTCTTGGGAGACATAGGGACACAAAGATTCAGCAAACTTAAAGGCTTCCGATGAAATTTAAATGATAAATATTTTCTGTGAGGCACATTATAATCAAACTGACAAAACTCAAAATGTCAAGTCACAATAAAATAGTTTCTATTTGACAATCAGCAGATATCTCAGCAAAAACCTTACAGGCCAGGAGAGAGTGGGACGACATATTAAAAGAACTAAAAAAAAAAATGTCATCTAAGAATAGTACATTGAGCAAAGCTATCATTTAGAAATAAAGCAGAAATAAAGACCTTCCCAGACAAGCAAAAACTGTGGAACTGTGGAGATTCATCACCACTGGGGTATACTTAGAAGAAACGCTTAAAAGAGTACTACAGTAGGAAATAAAAGAAAAATAATTGATGCAAAGGTACATGAAAGTACAAAATTTACCAGTATAGGTAAACCCATGCAATAATCAGGATACCCCGGTGATGTAATGTTGCTATGTAAATACTTCAATCCTATAGTATGAAGATTCAAATTAAAAAAGTCAAAAACATTAAAAGCTAAAATTAGTGATGAAGAAACATACAAACAATAATGATATAAATTAAAGCAATCAGAATACAAATTGTGGGAGTGAGGGGAAAAGGCTAAAAGTATTTTTATGTGACCAAAGTCAAGTTGTTATCAGCTTAAAATAGTCTTATAACGAGACTCTATGTTACCAGCATTGTAACCACAAAAATACATAGATGAGAAAGAGGAAAGGAAAAAAAAACACTTAGCATTAGATAACTACAAACCACAGATAAACAAGAGATTAAGAAGGGAACAAAGATTTACCAAACAACCAGAAAACAAATGACAGAAGTAAGATCCTACCTATCAATAATAAAATTAAATGTGAATAAATTAAATTCTACAATTAAAGGATATAGAATGGCTGAATGAATCAAAAAATCCACCTATATTTTGCCTACAAGAGATGTACCTCACTATTAAAGACAAACAGAGTGAAAGTGAAGGAATGGAGAAAGATATTACATGCAAACAAAAACCAACAATGATCGGGAGAAGCAATACTAATATTAGATAGAATAGATGTTAATTCAAGAACTATCAAAAAACCCCACAAAAAGTTTATTATACAACAATAAAGGGATAATTAAACAAGAAGATAAAACAATTGTAAATATATATGTATCCAACACTGGAGCAGACAAATATATAAAGCAAAGATGAATAGATCTAAAAGGATAGACAGACTGCAATACAGTAATAGTTGGAAACTTCAACAGCCTATTTTTGGCAATGGACAGATCATTAAGGCAGAAAATCAACAAAGAAACATCAGAGTTAAACTAAATTTTTAAACAAATAGTGCTAATAGATATTTACAGAGCATTTTATTAAATTGCTGCAGAATTCAAATTATTCTCATCACCACATGTAACATTCTCCAGAATAGATAATGTGTAAGGTCAAAAATATCTATTGGCAATTTAAAAACAGTCAAAATTATACCACATAACTTTTCTCAGTATGAAGGAATAAAACTAGAAATCAATAATAAGAGGAATTTTAGAAACTGTACAAATACATAAAAATTGAATAGCGTGCTCCCAAATGATCAATGGGTAAATAAAGAAATTAGAATGAAAATTAAAAAAAAAACTTGAACAAATGAAAGCAGCAGCACAACATAACAGAACCTATGTGATACAGCAAAAGCAGTTCTAAAAGGGCAGATCATAGCAATAAATACCTACATCATAAATATAAAAGGATTTGTAATAAACCACCTAATGATTCACCTTAAGAACTTGCAAAGCAAGAGGAAACCAAAATATAAATTAATAAAAAATAAAGATCAGAGTAAAAATAAATGAAATTGAGATAAAATCAAAATGCAAAATGTTAACAAAATGAAGAGTTTGTTTTAGATAAGTTAAATCTTACAAAACTTTAGTTAGGCTAAGAAAAAATAGTTAGAAACACAAATAAATAAAATCAGATACTAAAAAGGAAACATTACAACTGATACTGTGTCCAGAATTGGTTCTTTCTGGTGGGTTCTTGGTCTCACTGACTTCAAGAATGAAGCCACATACCCTCACGGTGAGTGTTACAGTTCTTAAAGATGGTGTGTCCGGAGTTTGTTTTTTCAGATGTTCAGGTGTGTCCAGAGTTTCTTTCTTCCAGTGGGTTTGTGGTCTCGCTGACTTCAGGAGTGAAGCCGCAGACCTTCACAGTGAGTATTACAGCTCTTAAAGGTGGCGTGTCCAGAATTGTTTGTTCCTCCTGGTGGGTTTGTGATCTCGCTGATTTCAGGAACGAAGCGGCAGACCCTTGCGGTGAGTGTTACAGCTCATCAAGGTAGTGCAGACCCAAAGAGTGAGCAGCAGCAAGATTTATTGTGAAGAGCAAAAGACCAAAGTTTCCAGAGCGTGGAAGGGGACCCCAGCAGGTTGCTGCTGCTGGCTCAGGTGGCCAGCTTTTATTCCCTTATTTGGCTCTGCCCACATCCTGCTGATTGGTCCATTTTACAGAGAACTGATTGGCCCATTTTACAGAGTGCTGATAGCTACACTTTACAGAGTGCTGATTGGTGCATTTACAATCCTTTAGCTAAACACAGAGTGCTGATTGGTGCGTTTTTACAGAGTGCTGACTGGTGCATTTACAATCCTTTAGCTAGACACAGAGCACTGATTGGTGCATTTACAATCCTTTAGCTAGACACAGAGCACTGATTGGTGCATTTACAATCCTTTAGCTAGGCAGAAAAGTTCTCCAAGTCCCCACTCGACCCAGGAAGTCCAGCTGGCTTCACCCCTCCATACCACAGAAAATAAAAGGATTATTAGAGACTACTAGGAACAAGTTTATATCAATAACATGAAAAAGCTGGAAGAAACTGATAAATTTCTGGACTCAGACAACCTACTAAGATAGAAGCATGAAAAAAATAGAAAACCTAAGCAAACAATGAGTAATGAGACTGAAGCAGTAATAATTATTTTTTCATAAAAAGGAAGCACAGGACACAGGGGTTTCACTGCTGAATTCTATTACACTTGTAAAGAAAAACTAATCCCACACATACTCAAACTATTTTATAAAATTGAATATTAGGAAATACTTCCAAATTCATTGAACAAGGCCAGGATTACTCTGAAACAAAAACCAGAGAAAGGTAAGACAAAAAAAAAAAAAAAGTATAGGTCAATATCCCTAATGAGCATAAATATAAAATCTTCAGAATAATACTGGCAAAACAAGTGCAACAGCTCATTAAAAAAATTATTCCTCATGATCGAGTGGAATTTATCCCAGGGATTCAGTGATTGTCCAATATATGCAAATTAATAAACTGGATACATCACATTAACAAAATCAAGGACAAAAATTATATAACAATTTCAATAGATGTTGAAAAAGTATTTGATAAAATTCAACATTCCTTCCTGATAAAAACTCTGAACAAGTTGGGCACATAGGGAAAATACCTCAATACTACAAAAACCATATATGAAAATGAACAACTAATATCACACTGAATGGAGAACAATGAAAAGCCTTTCTATTAATATCTGGAACAAGACAGGAATGCTGCCTTCTTCGCTTCTATTCAACATAGTACTAAAGTCCTAGACAGAGTAATTAGGCAATATAAAGTAATAAAGGGCATCCAAATTAAAAAGGAAGAAGCAAATCATTTTTGTTTGGAGACAACATAATCTTATTTTTAGAAAAACCTGAAGACCCAACAGAACTCTTACAAATAACTAACAAATTCATTAAAATTGCAGTATACAAAATCAATTTACAAAATTAGTAGCATTTCTATATACTAGTAGCAATAAATCTGAAAAAGAAATCAGTAAAATAATACTGTTTAGAATAGTTACCAAAAAATACTTAAGAATAAATTTACATAAGCTAAAAATCTCTACAAGGAAAACTATAAATTACTGATGAAAAAACTAAGGGGATACAAGAAAAAAGAAAGATGGCCCATGTTTATAGATTGGAATAATTATTAGTATTAAATATCTATACTTTCAAAAGCAATCTACAGATTTATTGCAATTATTTCAAAATTCCAATGATGTTCTTCACAGAAATAGAAAAAACAATTGCCAATTTACTATGGAACCAGAAATTATCCCACATAAAAACAGCAATCTTGAGCAGCAGCAACAAAGCTGGAGGCATCACACCACCTGATTTCAAATTATACTACTAGGCTACGGAACACCAAACATGTCCCTGGCATAGAAAAAAACAGATTTACCAATGGAACAGAATTAAATTCACTCACAGTCACCTCACTTTCTACAAAAGTGCCAAGAACTTCCATTGAGGAAAGAACAATCTCTTTAATAAATGGTGCTTAGATAACTAGCTGTTCATATGCAGAAAAATGAAATTATATCCCCATTTTTCAACATATATATATATAGAAAAATTAATTCAAAATGCATTAAATACTTAAATGTAAGACCTAAAACTTTAAATCCACTAAAAGAAACCTTGGGGAAAATGTTATAGGACATTGGTCCGAGCAAAGATATTTTTGGATAAGAATTTGAAATCATAGACAATAAAAGCAAAACGAGACAAATAGGATTACATCGATCAAAGAAAACCAGCAACAACAAAACATCAATAAAGAGACAACCTACAGAATGGGAGGAAATACTTGCAAATGATCTATCTCACAAGGGGTTAACACCCAGAATAGATATGAAACTCAAACAACTCAATAACAAGAGCAAATAATCCCATTAATAAATAGGCAAAATCCTTTAATAGATATTTCCTAAAAGACAACATATGAACAGCCAAGAGCTGTATGAAAAAAATGTTCAACATCACTAATCATCAGGAAAATGCAAATCAAAACCACAATGAAATAACATCTCACCCAAGTTAGAATGACTCCTATCAAAAAGACAAAAAATAAATAAAATGCTGGCAATGATGTGGAAAAATAAGAATATGCATACATTGTTGGAGGGAATGTAAATTAGTACAGCCATTATGGAGAATGATATGAAGGATCCTCAAAAACACAAAAATAGAACAACCATATGAACCAGTAATCTCACTGCTGGGTATATATCCAAAAGAAAAAAATCAGTATATCAAGGAGATATCCACACTGTCATATTTATTATGACACTGCTCACAATAGTCAAGATGTGGTATCAACCTAAGTGTCCATCAGTGGATGAATGAACAAAGAAAATTTGGTGTACTTACACAATTAAATTTTATTCAACCAGAAAACAGAATGAAATTCTCTCATTTACAGCAACATGAATGGAATTCAGGTCATTATTGTAAGTGAAATAAACCAGGCACAGAAAGGCAAATATCACATTTTAACTGGTATATCAGAGCTCAAAAAGTGTGTCTTACAGACTTACAGAATAGAATGGTGCTTACCAGAGACTTGGAAGAGAAGGAAAGAGGGAATGAAGATAAGGTGTTGGTTAAGGGGTACAAAAATACAGTCAGTTAGAAGGAATAAGTTCTAGTATTTGATAGTACTGTAGAGAAATTACACTTAAAATAACTTACTATGTATATTAAAATAGCTAAAAGAGAAGAATTTCAATGTTTCCAGTTCCAAGGAAAGATGAATGTTTGAGGTGATGGATAGTTCAATTACCCCAATTTTATTAATACACATGGTAGGCATGTGTCAAAAATATCACATGTACCACAAAAATACATACAACTATTATATATCAATAAAATATTAAGACAAAAAGAAGAAAGATTTCTAATAAATAACCAAAACAAAAACCTCAATGAACTAGAAAAAGAAGCAGCTAAGTTCAGGGCAGAAATGAACAATATAAGAACTAACATAACAATTAAAAAGATCAACAAAACTAAAAGTTACTTTTTTGAAAATACAAACAGAATAAACAAAGCTTTATCTAGACTAAGAAGAAAAGAGAAATATTCCAAAGACAACCAGAGATGAAAAAGAAAACACTTCAACAGACATCACAGAAATACAAAGGATTGTAAGAAACTACTATGAACAACAGTATGTGAAGATATTCAAGAACATAGAAGAATAGGAAAATTTCTGGGCACTTACAACCTATCAAGATTAAAGTAATAAATAAAAAAATAAATAGAAAATATGAACAGACCAATAATGAGCGACGCTCAAGATGACCAACTAGATGCAGCTGGGAAGTGCTACTTCCATAGAGAGAGACCAGTATTTCCACTAAACCAACATAATTTGAACAGATCTTTGGAGAAAAAAAATGCTAAATATGGATGAATAAAATATGCAGATGCTGAGGCTGAAGAGGGAGGAAGCTGGGAACCTTGCATGTGATGACTGAATGCTAGGGCTGGTGCCTGGCCCTGAAGAGTTCCTGGGGAAAGGGTGAGTAAAGAGACCGGAAGACTATGGACTGTCACCATGGACCTCTGTGATCCTAGCTTTAAGGGATCACGCATTCCTCATAGACATTTGAGCTGGTGAGTAGATCCCACTGGAGATTCGACGGAAGTGGAGTTGTAACAGGCATGGAGCCAGGGGCCTTTATGTGTGGGACAGCTCCAGCAGAGTCCAGCTGTTAGTACCCATTACCCAGGGTTCCTCATCTCCCTCTGAGAGGCTCTGGCCCTAGCTAACCACCAAGAAGAAAGCAGAGCTGGCTTCCCCACAGGGCTGAGGCACATCTGCCCTGCAGGCCTGCCTGCCCACCAGTCCCTCCCAGGGCTCCTGCCTGGCTGCTCCACCGGAGCATGTACAAAGTGCAGCCACACTGCCCCGCCTGGGTATTTTGCTAAACCTGGGTGTGTTTCAGCAGCCTGAGAGACCTTCAGATCCCACAGCACACATGGAACCAAACCCCAGGTGTCCAGAGGAGGGAACCAGGAACAGGTCCTGGCTCCCATGGGCTGTGGTCCATGGCTTAAGAGTGCTAAGCCAAAATCTGTGCCTGCCTCTTAAGCAAGGGAGGAGACCACATTCTCAGAAAACTGAGAGAGGTGGAGTCACACAGGTTTGTGGGCTGGTGTGGGATCTAGGCATGCCTCCCTCTACAGGGCTGGTAGAGTAAGTAAGGATGTGGCCTATTTCCCTACTGTACCTTTGCCTGAGGGAGCCCTATGGCCCAAAACACCTACCCAAAAGTGAAGAAAAAAATTGAGAGCACAGCGCCAGTGATTGAAGATGGCTCCCCCAAGGCCCAAGAGTGAAACTGGTGTAGGGGATTATCTCTCCACCTAGCACCACAGAGCACAGATGCAAATGAAAGAGTACACAAAGAAGCTACAAGGCTGAGTAAGAGCCTATCGGCCATCCATTGCTCTCAACTGTTGTCTACTGGATTACAGCCTAAGCTTTAACACTAAAAAACACTGCTAATTCTTTCCCTCTGTGAAATCAAGGGCAATAACTTAACAACAAATCCTAGTGCAGAGCCTTAGCCCTCTGAAAACTTCCATAAATGAAGCCAACTGAATATACTCAATTTACACCACAGTTATAAAGAAAATTCTCCCATATGAAAAAGAATGCAAGAAGTCTGACAATTCAAAAAGCCAGAGTATTTCCTTATCCCCCAAAAAGCCCATCAGCTTCCCTGCAATGGTGATTTACTAGTTTGAAATATCTGAAATGACAGACATGTAAATCAGAACTGGATGACAAGTAAGCTGATTGAGATACAGGAGAAAGTTGAAACTGAATCTAAGGAAGCCAAGCAGTCCAGTGAACTGATTTAAGAACTGACAGATGAAATAGTCATTTTAAGAAATACCCAAACTGAAGTTCTTGAAGTAAAAGAAAAAAAAGTCACCACAAGAATTTCATAACACAATTGGAAGTATTAACAGCAGAATAGACCAAGCTAAGGAAGTAATCTCAGAGTTCAAACACTGGTTCTTTGAATCAACTCAGTGCGACAAAACTAAAACAAAAAAAAAAAACAAAATGAAGGAAAAAATGAACAAAACCTCCAAGTAATATGAGATTATATAAAGAGACCAAATACATGACTGATTGGCATTCCTCAGAGAGAGAGAGAATAAGCAACTTGCAAAGTATATTTGAGGATATAGTTTATGAAAGTGTTCTTAATATGGTTGGAGATGTTGACATGCAAATACAAGGAACACAGAGAACCCCAGCCAGCTACTATACAAAATGACCACCTCCAAGGTACATACTCATCACACTCACAGAGATAAATGCAAAAAAAAAAAAAGAAAAAAAAGTCTTAAAGGCAGCTAGAGAGAAGTGGCAGGTTACTTACAGAGGGAATCCCATCAGGCTAGCAGCAGAACTCTCAGCAGAAACCTTAAAATCAGAAGAAATTGAGAGCCTAATTTCAGCATCCTTAAAGAAAAGAAACTGCAACCAAGAATTTTATATCCCACAGAACTAAGCTTCATAACTGAAGGATAAATAAAATCCTTCTCAGACAATCAAATGCTGAGGGAACATATTTCAACTAGACCAGCATTATAAGAGGTCCTTAAGGAATCAAAAGAATTCCACCTGATACCACAACAACACAGTTAAGCACATAACCCACAGCCACTATAAAGCAACTATGCAATCAAGTCTACCTAACAAACAGCTAACAACAGGATGACAGGATCAAAATAACACATAGCAATACTAACCTTGAATGTGAATGGGATAAACATCCACTTAAAAGACACAGAGTGGCCAGCAGGACAAAAGGATAAGACCCAAACATCTGTTGTCTTCAAGAGATCCACCTCACATGCAATAACACTTACAGCATCAGGGTAAAATTTACCATGCAAATGGAAAACACAAATGGGAAGGAATTGCTATTCTTATCTTACATAAAACAGACTTTAAGCCGATAAAAATTAAGAAAGACAATGAAGGGAGGTACATAGTGATACAGGGCACAATACAACAAGAAGTCTTAACCATTCTAAATATATATGCAACCCACATTGGAGCACCAATATTCATAAAACAAGTTATTCTAGGCCTATGTAAAGATTTAGACAATCAGACAAAACCGTGGAACACCTCAACACTCCATTGACGGCACTAGATAGATCATCAAGGCAGAAAACTAACCAAAAAACTCTAGATTTAAAGTCAACACTCAACACAGAGGACCTAATAGCCATCTACAGAACATTCCATCCAATGACCACATAATATACATTTTTCCCATCTGCACACATAATATATTCTAATATTTACTACATGTTCAGTCATAAAGCAAGTCTCAAGAAATTAAAAAAAATCTGAAATCATAACAAGCATATTCTCGGACCACAGTGCAAGAGACACTGAAAGCAATATCAAGGAGATCGCTCAAAACTGTACACCTATTTGGAAAGTAGATAATTTACTCCTGCATAACTCCTTGGTGAACATCAAAATTAAGGCAGAATTTAAAAAAACCTCATTGAAATTAGTGATAATGGGACACAACTTAACAATATCTCTGGGATGCAGCCAAAGCAGTGTTAATTTAACAGAAAAGTTTATTGCCCTAAGTACCTTCATCAAGAAGTTAGAAAGACCTCAAATTAACACTCTAACTTTGCACCTAAGCAAAATAGAAATCTACAAAAACCAAAATAGAGAAAAAGAAATAACTAAAGTTAGAGAATAACTTAATGAAATTGAGATGTAAAAATTTATACAAAAGATCAATGAAACCAAGAGTTATTTCTTTTCTAAAGAAATAAGATCGACAGAATGTTAACTAGATATACAAAGAAAAGAAAGAGAAGATTCACATAACCATAATCAGAAATGACAAAGGGAATATTACAACTGATCCCACAGAAATACAAAAGATCCTCAGAGACTACTATGAACAACTCTATGCACACAAACCAGAAAATTTAGAGTAAATGGATAAATTTCTGGAAGGATATAATCTGTCAAGATTGAATCAGAAAGAGTTTGAAACCCTGAAAAGGCCAATATCAACTTCTGAAATTGAATCAGTAATAAAGAACTGACCCAAAAAACAAAACAACAACAACAACAACAACAACAACAAAAACAAAGCACTGAATCAGATGAATTTAAGCCAAATTATATCAGATGTACAGAAAACAACTGATATCAATTCTACTGAAACTATTCTGAAAAATTGAGGAAGAGGGGCTCCTTCCTAATTCATTCTATGAAGCCAGCATCTGCCCGATACAAAAATCTGGCAGAGACACAATGAAAAAAGAAAACTTCAGGCCAATATAGTTGCTGAAAATAATTGCAAAATTCCTCAAAAAAATACTAGATAACCAAATCAAGAGGCAGTCAAAAAGTCAATAACTCATAATTAACAAGATTTTATTCCTAGGATGTGAGCCTGGTTCAACATAAACAAATCAATAAATGTGATTTGCCACATAAAAGAATTAAATGCAAAAATTATATGATCATCTCAGTGGATGCAGAAAAAGTAAAAGATCTGATAAAATCCACTATTTTTTCATTATAAAAATCATCAGCAAACTAGGCATCCAAGGATCATACCTCAAAATATGAAGAACCATCCATGACAAACTCACAGCCAACATCATAGTGAATGGGCTAAAGTTCAAACTATTCCCCTTGAGAAACGGAACAAGACAAGGATGACCACTCTCACCATTCCTTTTCAATATACTACTGGCAATTCTAGCCAAAGCAATCAGGCAAGATAAAGAAAGGAAGGGCATCCAAATAGAAGAAAAAGAGAAATCAAACTACCTCTCTTTGCTGATAATATGATTTTATACTTGGAAAATCTTAGAGTCACTGCCAAAAGGCTCTGAGAACTGATAAATGACTTAAGCAAAGTTTCAGGATACAAAATGAAAAGTTCCCGGAAAAATAGAAGCCTACCATCTTTGTATAGGGTTTGAAGTTATAACAATAATTTTCTGTTTATTGAGCATCATTAATGCCCAGATATGGTGTCCAGACACCATAATTTGGTAGTTGGAACTTTCCATTCATTGCTCGTTGCAGTGCAAACAAAAATAGTGAAGTAGGAACTAAGCTAAAGAGCTTCTGCACAGCAAATTAAACTATCAACAGAGTAAACAGGCAACCTACAGAATAGGAGAAAGTATTTGCAAACTATGCATCCAACAAAGGTCTAATATCCAAAATCTACAGGTAACTTAAATCAATAAGGAAAAAAAAAACCCCATTAAAAATGGACAAAGGACATGAGCAGACACTTCTTAAAAGAAGACATACATATAGTCAACAAACATGAAAAAATGCTCAGCATCCTTAATCATAAGGGAAATGCGAACCAAAACCACAATGAGTTACCACCTCACAGCAGTTAGAATAGTTATTATTAAAAAGTCAAACAACAACAGATGCTGGTGAGCCTGTAGAGAAAAGGGAACACGTATATACTGTTGGTGGGAATGTACATTAGTTCAGCCACTATGGAAAGCTGTCTGGAGATTTATCAAGGAACTTAAAGCAGAACTACCATCCAACCCAGCAGGAGCATTACTGGGTATATACCCTAAGGAAAATAAATTTTTCTACCAAAAAGACACATTTACTTATATGTTTATTGCTGCACTATTTAGAATAGCAAAGAAATGAAATCCACCAAGGTGCCCATTAATGGTAAATTGTATTAAAAAAAAAGAAGTGGTAAGTATACAGCATGGAATACTGCAGAGCCATAAAAAAGAATAAAATCCTGTTCTTTTCAGCAACACTGGTGAAATGGGAAACATAATCCTTAGCTAATTAATACAGGAACAGAAAAACAAACGTTGCATGCTCTCACTCATAAATGAAAGCTAAACATTGAGCAGACATGGACATAAATATGAGAACAATAGACACTATAGGGGGGACAGGAGAGAGCAGAGGGAAGGAGGGGAATGAGTTGAAAAACTACCTATTGAGTGCTAGGTTCACTACCTGTGTGATGAGATCTGTACTCCTATCTAAGCACCATGCAATATTCTCATGTAACAAACCTACACATGTGCCACTTGTATCTATGATAAAAATGGAAATTAAAAATGATGAGTGAGGAAGAGTGAGAAAATTGAATCAGTAATAATAAGTCTTTAAACAAGAGCCCACATCAATATGGCTTAACTGCTAAATTTTAGCAAACACGTAGAGAAGATATAATACCAATTCTAGACAAATTATTCCAGAAGAGGAACAATTACTTCCAAACTCATTCATTTGGCCAACATTACCCTCATTCCAAAACCATTCAGTAGTGTAACAAATAGGCCGATATCTTTGATGTACATACATGCAAAAATCCTCAACTAAATACTAACAAGCAGAATTAAACTGCATGTTAAAAATATTATCCACTATAATTAAGTGGGCTTCATCTTTGGAATACAAGGATGATTCAACATATGAAAATAAATAAAAGATATACACCACATTAACAAAAAGAAAGGCAAAAACCATGTGATCAATTCAATAGACATGAAGAAATGACTTGACAAAACTTTCACTCTTTTTATATTAAAAACTCTCAAAAAATAGGTATAGAAGGTATGTACCTCAACATAATAAAGGGCACATATAACAGCCCCAAAGCTGACATACTGAATGAGGAACAGCTGAAAACTTTTTCTTTAAGATCAGGAACAAGACAGGGATACCACCTTTCATCATTCTTTTTCAACATAGTATTGAAAGTTCTAGGCATAACGAGTAGGCAAGAGAAAAAATGAAAGGCATCCTAATTAGAAAAGTCTAAGTTAAGTTATCTCTGTTCATAGATATATATATAATATATATATATATTATATATAATATAGAAAATAATAAAGAATGCACCAAAAAGCTGTTTGAAATAATAAACAAATTCAGTAAAGTTGCAGGATACAAAACCAACATACAAAAATTAGTATCATTTCTATACATTAATGGCAAACTATCTGAAAAAATCAATTGAACAATTCAATTACTAGTAGATACAAAAAAACAAGAAACACCCAAATAAATGTAACAAAGGAGGCAAAAGATCTCTACATTGAAAACTGTAAAATATTGATGAAAGAAATTGAAGACACAAACAAATGGCAAGGTTTCCTATGCTCATGGATTGAAAGAATTAATATTATTGAAATGGCCATACTGTCCAAAGCATTCTGCAAATTTAATAGAATCTCTATCAAAATACCAGTAACATTCTTAATAAAAATAGAAAAAAAAAATCCTTAAATTCCCATGGAAGCATAAAAGATTCTGAAATACCCAAAGCAATCCTGAACCAAAAAATTGACACACAGACAAATGGAACAGAATAGACAGTGAATAAATAAATTCACACCTACAGCCAACTGATATTTATTTGACAAATGTTTTAAGGACACATATTGGGGAAAAGCCAGTCTCTTCAAGAAATGGTTCTGGGAAAATGGAAGAGCCTCATGCAGAGGAATGTGAGCATATTCCTGCATCTCACCATATATAAAAATCTACTCAAAATGGTTTAAAGATGTAAACATAAAACTGACACTATAAAACTAGTAGAAGAAAACTTAAGGGGACACTTTAAGGCATTGGGCTAAACAATTTCTTTTATTTTTATTTTTATTTTTATAGATTTAGGGGTACAAGTGCAGTTATGCTACATTGAAATATTGCATAGTGATGAAGTGTGGGCTTTTGGTGTACCCATCAACCAAATAGTGTATGTTGTACCAAATACCAAATAGGTAGTATTTTATCCCCTTCCACCATCCCACTTTTGGAGTCTCCAATGTCTGTTATTCTACTCAGTGTGTCTACATGCACACATTGTTTAGCTCCCACGTATAAGTGAGAATGTGAAGTTTTTGACTTCCTATTTCTAAGTCATTTTATTTAGGATAATAGCCAATAGTTCCATCCATGTTGTTGCAAAAAACATGAGTATATTCTTGTTATGGCTGAGTAGTATTCCATTATATTTATATAAATATATATATTTATCTCTCTATCCCTCTCTGTCTCTGTCTCTCTCTCTCTCTCTCTTTCTATATATATATATAATATATATATTATATATATATTATATATATAATATATATATTATATATATATTACATATATATTATATATTATATATATATTATATATATATTACATATATATTATATATATTATATATATTATATATATATGTATGGATGACTGAATGACATACATGTGGTCTGTGTGTGTATATATATATTATATATATATATTATATATATATTATATATATTACATATATATTATATATATTATATATATATTATATATATTACATATATATTATATATATTATATATATTATATATATATTATATATATATATTATATATATTATATATATTATATATATATTATATATATATTATATATATATTATATATTATATATATATTATATATAATATATATTATATATATATATTATATATAATATATATATAATATATATATTATATATATATAATATATATATAATATATATATATAATATATATATACACACACAGACCACATGTATGTCATTCAGTCATCCACTAATGGACAGTTAGGTTGATTGTATGACTTGGCTATTGAGAACAGTGTTGCAATAAACATAAGAATGCAGGTGTCATTTTGATAAAATAACTTCCTTTTGGGGAGTAGATACTCAGCAATGGAACTTCTGGGAAAAAAAGCCAGTTCTAAATTTAGTTTTTTGAGAAATCTGTTTTCTATAGAGCAATTTACATTGTCACTGACATTATATAAGTGATCCCTCTTCTCTGCATTCTCAACAATATCTTTTGTTTTTGACTTTTTAGTAATAGCCATTCTGAGTGGTATAAGATGGTACATTATTGTGGTTTTAATTTGCATTTCTCTGATAATTAGTGATATTGAGCATTTTTATTTTATGTTATTGCTGGCCATTTGTATGTCTTCCTCATTTGTAGGTCTTTTGTCCATTTTTTAATAATAATAATATAATTTGCTATTGAGTAATTTGAGTTTCTTATATATTCTGGTTATTAATCTTTTGATAGACTGATGATAATTTGGAAATATTTTCTCACATTTTGGAGGCTAGTTAGAATGGCTATTACTAAAAAGACAATAGAAAACAAGTGCTGGTGAGGATGTGGAAAAAAAACCTACACATTTTTGGTAGGATCATAAATTATTACAGCGATTATGGGAAAAATATGAATTTTTTCAAAAATGTAAGTAGAACTTCTGTGTGATCCAGTAATTCCACTATTGTGTATATACCCAAAGGAAATCAAATTGGTATTTTGAAGAGATACCTGCATTCCTGTATTCATTGAAGTACTATTTCTGATAGCCAAGATGTGAAATCAACCAATTTCTCCAATAATGTACTAATAAAGAAAATATGGCATATATACACAATGGAATTATGTTCAGCTATTGAAAAATAATAAAATTTTGCCATCCGTCACCACATGTGTGGGCCTGAAGGACATCATGTTAAGGAAAATAAGCCAGACACAGAAAGACAAGGACCACATGGACTCACTCATATCTGTAATCTAAAAAAATGTAGGTATCATAGAAGCTGAGAGTAGAATATTAATTTCCAGAAACCGGGGAGAAGAAAGGGGAGAAGAATAGAGAATGGGGAGAAGTTTGTCAACAGGTACAAAATAACATTAAATAGTAGAAATAATTCTGTTGTTTTATTGTACAAAAGGATAATGACAGTCAACATTGACATATTGCATAGCACAAAATAGCTAGAAAATTGGCTTTGAATATTCTCATCACAAAGAAATGATACATGCATAAGGTGATGTATACTCTATGTAATCTGATTAGATCAGTATACTATGAGTGTGTGTGTTTATAATAATCAAATTTTACCCTATAAATATGAACAGTTGAACTGTGCCAATAAAATAATAAATTCAAAAAGTGCCAAAAATATTAAATAAAACAATTGTTGATGGAATAGTTAACATACATATTTTTAAAATACCTTAATTTTTATGTGGAACCATTAATAAATTAACTAAAAATAGATTATAGGATAAACATAAAATCCAAAGCTATAAAACATTTTATAGTAAAAACAGGAAGAACTCTTTAATATTCTGAGTTGCAAATATTTGTTAGTGTATTAGTCTGTTTTCACACTGTAATAAAGAACTGTCCAAGACTGGGTAATTTATAAAGGAAAGAAGTTTAATTGACTCACAGCTCCACATGGCTGGGGAGGCCTCAAGAAATTTGCAATCATGGTGGAAGGTGAAGGGGAAGCAAGGCACCTTCTTTACAAGGTGGCAAGAAGAAGAATGAATGCAGGAGGAACTACCAAGCACTTATAAAAACATCAGATCTCATGAGAAATCACTCACTATCATGAGAACAGGATGAGGGAAATCATACCCATGATTCAATTACCTCCACCTGGTTCCTCCCTTGATACATAAGGATTATGGGGATTACAATCCAAGATGAGATTTTGGGTGTGCACACAGCCAAACCATATCATTCTGCCCCTGGCCTCTCTCAGATCTCATGTGCTCACATTTCAAAACACAATCATGCCTTCCCAAACGACCCCCAAAGTCTTAACTCATTTCAGCATTAAGCCAAAACTCCACGTCCAAAATCTCATCTGAGACAAGGCAAGTCTCTGATGCTTATGAGCCTGTAAAATCAAAAGCAAGTTAGTTAGGAAGTAACTAACTAACTAACTTGCTTTTGACCTGCCACCATGTAATGCATTTTTTGCTTCCCCTTTGCCTGCTACCATAATTGTAAGTTTCCAGAAACTTCCCCAGCCATGTGGAACTGTGAGTCAACTAAATCTCTTTTCTTTATAAATTACCCAGTCTCAGGTAGTTCTTTACAGCAGTGTGAAAATGGACTAATACAGTATGGCTGCTAACTTGGTTCACTTGAGCTTCTATGACAAAATATGACAGGCCCGGTGGCTTATAAATAACAGAAATTTATTATCACAGTTTTGGTGGCTGAGATTTCAAGGTCAAGGCACTGACAGATTTGATGTCTGATGAGACCTCATCTGGATCAGAGATGGCACCTTCTTACTGTGTCTTCACATGATGTAAAAGCCAGGGTCATTCTCCAGGACCTCTTTAATAAGGGCACTAATTTTATTCATAAGGCTCTGCTCTCATGACCTAATCAACTGTCAACAAAAACCTAAAATGTTCTATTACAGTTGCCTTGGGGGAATTTCAACATATACATTATAGGGAACACATTCAGACCATAGCAGCTGCATTTATTGGATACTCTGGAAAAGGTAATACTATAGGAACAAAAATTAGACCAGTTGTTTTCAGGGGCATGGGAGTGGGGGGAGGAACTGATTTAACATGGACATAATAGTGCTTTCTGATTGTTATGGTGATTACATTATTGTGTAGGTTTGTCAGAACATCAAAGAGTACACAATAAAAAGGTGAATTTTACTGTGTGTAAATTATGCCTCCATAAATCTGACAAAAGTGCAAAAGACAAACATTTTACTGTTTAAACAAATATTTTGATGTATTGCGGGATTTAGAAAATAGGCAAAAGCAGAATCTATGACAATACCACAAAACATGGTAAGGGTAAACAGAATTATACTGCTGTAAGATCTAAAAAGATATATATATATATAAAATATAAAATGAATTATGGAAATTTCTTATCAAAATTTAATATAAACAGATAAAATATTTCAATTGAAAGAAAAATAATATCATATTTGCATAAAAGGAAATATGTAGATTACAATAAACAAAATTTAAAACATGATAACAGCTGAAAAATAGGATGTGTAACATGATACTAGGCAAATATAATCTAAAGAAGCATGCAGAGTGACATCAGCAAAATGGCAGATTAGGAATTGTACAGCTTCCACTCCCTACCTACACAGAAACCCAACTAGCAACTATCTAAAGGTAACAATACTAACCTGAATATCCCAGAACTTGGGGTTGAGGCTGATACACTCCCTTGGACTACGGAACCAAGAAAATCTATGATCAAATGGTAAGACAAATGGTTCTCTTTGACCATACTCCCCCTCCCCAAGCTAGCACAGGGCCATGCACAGAGAATTCCTCTGGACCTATGGTTTCTACAGTGTTATAAGTAAATCAAAGGCAGGCATTTAGCTTCCCCATGATTCTGGGATTCCACACTAGAGACTTACTCCTCTCTCATCTTACAGGAAACAGTGGGAGTGTCAGCAGGGCTGGACCACCTTGAGTTACTTAGGAGCAAAAAAATGTAGTATGGCTTACATAAACTAGACCTCAGATTTTGGTTGCTGCTCTACATTTCTGCCAATGAAGGCAACACACTAAAGAAACTAGCTGACAACAATTGTAGCCTGAGATAAACTAGCTGTGTTGACCTGAGGTTTAAGATTCCCCATGGGCTTGCAATAGCTGCAGTGATTATGGCTTTGGAGATCACACCAGATTATTTTCCCACAATATCTTGAAAGGCTTTCTGTTGATGAACGTTCCTAAACAAAGCCAGACTGCAAAGACTAAAGTAAATCCTTACTTCTTCAGTGCACAGATATGGCTGCAAAAGCACAAGGATCAAGAACAAAAACATGACACCACCAAATGGATAAAATAAGGTGCCAGTAACTGCCAATAAAGAGATAAACATGTATGAACAGTCTGAGAAATAATTCAAAATAATTACTTCAGGAAGTGCGGAGAAATTCAAATAAATACAGAGAATAATTCAGAAATTTATCAGAGAATTAAAAAAATTGAAATAATAAATGAAACAGAAATCATAGGGCTGAAAAAATGCAATGAACAAAATAAAATATGCGATAGATAGCATCAACAATGAATTGATCAAGCAGGACAAAACATCTGTGAACTCAAATATCAGTTATTTGAAAATGTACTATCAGAGGAGAAAAAGAAAAAAATTGGAAGGAATAAAGAAAGCGTAGGAGACTTATGGGACAACGTTAGAAGAGCAAACGTGTGAGTCATGGTGATCAAGAGGGAGTAGGGAAAGATAAAGGAGTAGAATGTTTGTTTAAAAAATAATAGCAGAAAACTTTCCAAAGCTATGGAAACATATAAATATCTAAGTATAGGACAATCAAATATCTTCATTCAGATTCCATTCAAATAAGACTACTCCAGGACATATAATCAATGTGTCAAAGATGAAAGACAAAGAGAAGGTCTGGTAAACAGAAAGAGAAAATAAGCAAATAACATAGGAGTACCAATACACATTGCAACAGACTTCTCAGCAGAAACCTTATAGGCCAGAAGAAAGTGAGATGACATATTCAAAGTAAGTACCGAAGGAAAAAAAAAAAGAAGTTTCCAACCAAAAATATTTTGACCCACAAAACTGTCCTGCAGAAATGAAGGATGGATCAAGATATTCCCAAACAAACAAAAGCTGGGGGAATTTATCACCACCTGACTAGTCTTACAAGAAATGCTAAAGGGACTTCTTCAAGCTGAAAGAAAAGGATACTAGTAAGTAAGAGGAAAACATTTGTAAGTATACAACTCACTGTTGAAAGTGAGTATTTAGTAAAATTTGGAATATTCTAATACTTTAATATTGTTGTGTAAATCACTTAAGTCTTTAATATAAAAGTTACAATAAAAACTATTAAAATAATAACATTATAAATTGCTAAGGAATATGCAATATAAAAAGTAGTAAATTATGACATTTCATATTCAAAATGTGGAAGGAGAGTGGAATTATAGAGTTTTTTTCAATTAAAGATATATTGTTATCAGAAAAAATAACTTGTTATAACTATTAAGTGTTTTATGTAAGCCTCACGATAATCACAAGGCAAAAACCTATGATAGATTAACAATATGAAGCAAGGCATCAAAATATACTACTAGAGAAAATAACTATGAAGAAAGACTAAGAGGGAAAATGTACAAACACATAAATTAAAACAAATAAATTAAACAACATAAATTAAAACACATAAATTAAAAAACATACGTTTTCAAAAATTTTTTAGGCAATACTTCCTGATTTCCACATACACAATTATGGTATATGTGAAGAAAGACAGTTTTATTTCTTCCTTTTTGTCTGTATATATGTTATTTCCTTTTCTTGTCTTATTGCGTTAGCTAGAAATTCCAGTATGATGTTGAGAAGGGGTGGTGAAAGGGAATATCCTTGTTTTGCTTCTAATGTTGGCAGGAAATTTTGTAATTTTTTTTTTTTTTTTTTTTTTGGAGACAGAGTCTCACTCTGTCATCCAGGCTGGAGTGCAGTGGCACGATCTCAGCTCACTGCAAGCTCCACCTCCTGGGTTCAGGTGATTCTCCTATCTCAGCCTCCTGAGTAACTGGGATTACAGGTGCACACCACTACACCCAGCTAATTTTTATTTTTTGTATTTTCAGTAGAGATGGGGTTTCACCATGTTGGCCATGCTGGTCTTGAACTCCTGATTTCAAGTGATCCACCTTCCTCAGCCTCACAAATTGCTGGGATTACAGGTGTGAACCACCGCACCTGGCTGGAAATTCTGTAATTTCTCATCATTGAGTACGATGTTAGTTGTAAAATTTTAAATTCAAACTTTAATTTTAGGTTCAGAGGGTACAAGTGTAGGTTTGTTACATGAGTAAATTGCGTGTCATTGGGGTTTGGTGTACAAAAGATTTCATCACCCAAGTAGTAAGCATAGTACCCAATAGGCAGTTTTATGAACCTCACCCTTCTCCCCCACTTCACCATTAAGTAAGTCCTGGTGTCTATAGTATACATCTTTCTATCTACATGCACTCAATCTTTAGCACCCACAAATAAGTGAGAACATGAAATACTTGGCTTTCTGCTCCTTTATTAATTCACTTCGGGTAATGGCCTCCAAATTGATTCCTGTCATTGCAAAGGACATAATTTCATTTTTATGTCTGCATAGTATTCCACAGTATATGTGTATCACATGTTCCTTATATAGCCTACTGTTTGTGGGCATCTGGGTTGAGTCCATGTCTTTGCTATTCTGAAAAATGCTGCAGTTAACATATGTGTGCAAGTGTCTCTATGGTAGAATAATTTATATTCTTTTAGATACATGGCCAGTAATAGGATCTCTGAGTCAAACAGTTTTGTTTTAAGTTATTTGAGAAATCTCCAAATTGCTTTCCACAGTGGCTAAAGTAATTTATATCCTCACCAGCACTGTATAAGTATTTCCTTTTATCTGTAACCTTATCAACATCTGTTATTTTTTTTTTTTACTTTTTAACAATAGCCATTCTGACTGGTGTGAGATGGCATCACATTATGGTTTTGATTTGCATTTCTCTAATGATTAATACTGTTGAGTATTTTTTCATATGCTTGCTGGCCATGTGCGTTTCTTCTTTTCAGAAGTGTCTGTTAATATCCTTTGCCCATTTTACTGGGGTGGGTTGGTTGTTTCTTGTTGATTTATATAAATTACTTACAGATTCTGGATATTAGACCTTTGTTGAATGCATAGGTTGCAAGTATTTTTCTCCCACTCTGTAGGTTGTCTGTTAACTCTGTTGATAATTTATTTTGCTGTGCAGAAGCTTTATAGTTTAATTAGGTCCCACTATTTGATTTTTTTTTTTTTTGGTCTTTGTAAAAATATATTTTCCAAGGCCTATGTCCAGAATGGTATTTCCTAGGTTTTCCGCTAGGGTTTCTATATAATAGTTTTAGGTTTTAGACTTAAGTCTTTCATTCATCTTTAGTTGATTTTTGTACATGGTGAAAGGAAGTGCAGTATAAATTTTCTGCATATGGCTATTGAGCAGCATTTATTAAATATGTAGTCCTTTTCCAAATGCTTATTTTCAACTTTGTTGAAGATTTGATAGTTGTAGTTATGCAGCTTTATTTCCGAGCTCTCTAATCTGTTCCATTGGTCTATGTGTCTACTTTTGTACCAGTAGCATGCTGTTTTCTTTATGGTAGAATTGTAGTATAGTTTTTTTTTTACTTTATTTATTTATTTATTTATTATTTTTTTTTTAAATTTTTTTAGTATTTATTGATCATTCTTGGGTGTTTCTCAGAGAGGGGGATTTGGCAGGGTCATAGGAGAATAGTGGAGGGAAGGTCAGCAGATAAACATGTGAACAAAGGTCTCTGGTTTTCCTAGGCAGAGGGCCCTGCCACCTTCCGCAGTGTTTGTGTCCCTGGGAACTTGTGATTAGGGAGTGGTGATGACTCTTAACGAGTATGCTGCCTTCAAGCGTCTATTTAACAAAGCACATCTTGCACTGCCCTTAATCCATTTAACCCTTAGTGGACACAGCACATGTTTCAGAGAGCAGGGGGTTGGGGGTAAGGTTATAGATCAACAGCATCCCAAGGCAGAAGAATTTTTCTTAGTACAGAACAAAATGGAGTCTCCTATGTCTACTTCTTTCTACACAGACACAGTAACAATCTGATCTCCCTTTCCTTTCCCCACATTTCCCCCCTTTCTACTGGACAAGACCGCCATCATCATCATGGCCCACTCTCAATGAGCTGTTGGGTACACCTCCCAGACGGGGTGGTGGCCGGGCAGAGGGGCTCCTCACTTCCCAGACGGGGCAGCCCCCACCTCCCGGACGGGGCGGCTGCCAGGCGGAGGGGCTCCTCACTTCCCGGATGGGGCGGCTGCTGGACGGAGGGGCTCCTCACTACTCAGTCGGGGCGGCTGGTCAGAGACGCTCCTCACCTCCCAGACGGGGTGGCGGTGGGGCAGAAACACTCTTCAGTTCCCAGACAGGGTCGCGGCGGGGCAGAGGCGCTCCCCACATCCCAGACGATGGGCGGCTGGGCAGAGACGCTCCTCACTTCCTAGACAGGATGACGGCCGGGAAGAGGAGCTCCTCACTTCCCAGACAATGGGCGGCCAGGCAGAGACGTTCCTCACTTCCTAGACAGGGTGGCGGCCGGGCAGAGGCTGCAATCTCGGCACTTTGGGAGGCCAAGGCAGGCGGCTGGGAGGTGGAGGTTGTAGCGAGCCGAGATCACGCCACTGCACTCCAGCCTGGGCAACATTGAGCACCATCTACAATGAGTGAGCGAGACTCTGTCTGCAATCCCGGCACCTCGGGAGGCCGAGGCTGGCAGATCACTCGCGGTCAGGAGCTGGAAACCAGCCCGGCCAACATGGTGAAACCCCGTCTCCACCAAAAAATACAAAAACCAGTGAGGCGTGGAGGCGCGTGCCTGCAATCCCAGGCACTCGGCAGGCTGAGGCAGGAGAATCAGGCAGGGAGGTTGCAGTGAGTCAAGATGGTGGCAGTACAGTCCAGCCTCCGCTCGGCATCAGGGGGAGACGGTGCAAAGGGGAGTGGGAGTGGGAGCGGGAGAGGGAGAGGGCTGTAGTATAGTTTTAAGTCAGATAATGTGATGCTTCCAGCTTTGTTCTTTTTACTTAGGACTGCTTTGGCTCTGTGGGCTCTTTTTGGCTGTATATGAATTTTCAAATCGATTTTTTTTTTCAAATTCTGTAGAGAATGATGTTCATAGTTTGCTACGAATACCATTGAATCTGTAAATTTCTTTGGACAATATGTCCATTTAACAACATTGATTCTTCCTATCCATGAGCACGGGATGTTTTTCCATTTTATTGCATCATCTCTAATTTCTTTCAGCAATGTTTTGGTGTTTTGTAATTCTTATTGTGAAGATCTTCACCTACTTGGTTAGCTGTATTCCTAGGTATTTTATTCTTTGTGGTGCTATTGTGAGTGGAATTGTGTTCTTAATTTCCCACTCAACCTGGACATTGTTGTTATACAGAATTACAACTGATTTTGCACTTTGATTTTGTATCCTGAAATTTTACTGAAGTTGTTTATCTATTCCAGGAGTCTGTGGGCAGAGACTAAGGGCTTTTCTAAGTATAGAATCATATCATCTGTGAAGAGAATTAGTTTGACTTTCTGTCTTCCTATTTGGCTGCCTTTTATTTCTTTCTCTTGCCTGATTGCTCTGGCTAGGACTTCCAACGCTATGTTGAATAGGAGTGATGAAAGTGGGCATTCTTGTCTTCTTCCGATTCTCAAGGGGGATGCTTCCATCTTTAGCTCTTTCGGTGTGATGTTGGCTATGAGTTTTTTATAGATGGCTCTTATTATTTTTACAGTATCTCCCTTTGATGCCTGGTCTGTTAAGGGTTTTTAACATGAAGGGATGTTGAATTTTATTGAAAGCCTTTTGTGCATCTATGTAGATAATCACGTGTTTTTTGTTTGTTTTAGTTCTGTTTATGTGATGAATTATATTTATTGATTTGCGTATAAGCTTTTTCATGTGCTGCTGGGCTTGATTTGCTGGGGTTTTTTTAATTTAATTTATTTTATTTATTTATTTATTTTGATAGAGGCTTACTGGATTGCCCAGGCTGGAGTGCAGTGGCATGATCTCGGCTCACTGCAACCTTCGCCTCCTGGGTTCAAGCTATTTTCTTGCCTCAGCCTCCCAAGTAGCTAGGATTACAGGTGCCTGAAACTACACCTGGCTAATTTTTGTATTTCCTGTAGAGATGGTTATTTGCTATGTCGGCCAGGCTGGTCTCGAACTACTGACCTCAAGTGATCTGCCCATCTCGACCTCCCAAAGTGCTGGGATTACAGGTGTGTCCATCAAGTCCAGCTGATTTGCTAGTATTTTGCTGAAGATCTTTGGATCTCTATTCAACAGGGGTATTAGCCTGAAGTGGTTTTTTTGTGTGTGTGTCTCCCTCAGGTTTTGACATCAGAATGATGCTGGCCTCCTAGAATATATTAGAGAGGAGTCTTTACTCCTCAATTTTTTGGAAGAGTTTCAGTAGGATTGGTCTTCTTCATATGTCTTCTAGAATTTTTCTCTGAATGTATCTGGTCCAGGGCTTTTTTTCGGTTGGTAGGTTTTTAATTACTGATTAAATTTGGAAATTGTTATTGATTTGTTCAAGTATTCGATTACTTTCTGTTTCAATCTTGAAGAAATACTGTTCTGATATTGTTAAAAACATTTAATAAAAAATTTAATAAGCGTAGAAAAGTCATATTTGTAAAATAAAGATAAAATAAACCTTTCATTGTGGGAAAGATAACTTGCAAATTGCATTTGAACAACATCCTTCTTTGCTTACAAGCCCTTTACATCAAGAGAAGATTAGTATGGTAGTTGGAAAAGCCTTCAGTGTTTATTATTATTATTATTAATAGTTATTATGAAGAACTTCTGTTTCCTATTTTTGTTTTCTGTCCTCTCTTTGTTGTCTGACCTCCTAACATGTGAAATAAGCAATCAGCCTCCACAGCTTGAGATTCTGCAACCAATTTCACATTGTACCACAGGCAAACAGTTGGAGACATGGCTTAATTGAGATTTAACTTCATTAAAAGCTGTATTTCTAAACTGGACTAGAGTTTAGAGAGAGAGAGAGATTTTATATATATATATATATATAAAATAAGATATATATACATATATATATATATAATTCTCTCCAGTCTCCTCCCCTCCCCCTCTCAACTATTGAGAATTGTTTGGATTTTGTATCCACTAGATTGTCAATAATTAGAAGACAACTGTAATCATTTTGCATATGAAAACATTTGGGTTTCCAAATGTATTTTTCTTTTTAATTCGAATTTGAAAGTCAAATAACATATCTCTTGAAGGTAAGAGGCTCATTGGTCCTGGTTGTGGTCTGGATATATTGTAATATTGTAGGAAAATAGAATGCAAATGTAAACATTTTACCTTCTAGTTCTTAACTAGAAATTACAGAAAAATTTTTAAAAATCATATTTTTAAACTCTTACTATGCTCCTTTTGATAGTACCTGTAATGCTCTAATATTAGTAAGTAGTATAAACAAAAGATTCTACCATTTTGTCTGAGACATAGCAAAATTTGTTAATGATATTGAAATACCAATCAAAATTCTGTAATATTTAAACTGTTTAAAAAGCCATTTTTCCTGTAGTATCCAACTGACTTCTGGCCCCAATAACTGAGAAAACAGATTATCCTAACTTAACAAATGAGATAATAAACCATACTAATTAAAGTCTTTTAATTCGGATAAGAGAAAAGCTGAGAATAATTTCAAAGTACAACAATGTCAGAATAGCTGTTATCTACTTGAAATATTTACTCTCTTAATATACTGCAGAATTTTACTAACCAAATACTTGCTTAACTGGAATTAGAACATTGAGCTATTCACTGCTGAAGAAAATTAATTTTAGGACAATTGGCATTACTCAGCTTTTCCTAATAAAAATTATAATTGATAAAATTGTTGACAGTTTAGTAAATATCGTCTTCTAGTTTGTACAAGAAATATGCTTTAACATGATCCTTGCTATATTAACATAAAGATAGAAAATGTCTGCAAATAACAGAAAAATACTCTATCAGGGAATAGGTAAGACTACTTTTCTATTACTAGTAGGACAGAATAATGGTAATGAATTTAAGTTCATCCATATTCTCTCTTCTACTCATATTCAATCCCCCACATATTCAATAGCGAACATTTGTGAACATCTGTTGGAGACTCTAATCTATATTCCTGAAGAATTAGTATGATGTTACCTGACCCATAATAAATGATCAGAATCTGAGTTTGGCCTTACTAGCACTCTTCCTAACATTACTCAAATGAATTGATATCAAAATGTAAGCTGTAGATTATTGAATAAGTTAAGCTAGGGTATATTGGCAACCATTTCAGGAAAAAAAGTCATATCTCTGCTTTGTATTTTAAATGTATAAAAGCCAAAATAATAAAGTTACTGGAAACACATATACACTCACAGACATGTCACTTTATATAATCCTAGTTAGTGTAGAACATTTTGAATTTAATGCTAAAGTCAAAACAAAGTAAGAGATTGACAGATCTGATATCAAAAAAGGTAGTCATTAGTTGCACAAATACAAAGGGCAATTTAGAGTGATTCTAACATCTGTGGCATGTACAACGAAGATCTAATAATTTTAGTATACATATAGTTTTTACAAATTAATTTAAAAAATAAAATTTTATCACCCAAATAGAAAAATGTAGAAAGTATATGACTGGGGAAACAAGAAAAGACAAATGAGTGGCTAAAAGAACAAAAAATTTCAATCCTCATGGTAATAAGAGAAATGCAAATTGTAACAAATTTATAAAATAACTTTCTTTTCTAAAATTTAAAAATATTTAAAATTTTTTTATTCTCAGTGTCAAAATGAGAGTTTTGTTAACTCTACACATTACTGATAACACTGTAAAATATTTGGGCATGTACAAAAATAAGAAATTTCTGTAACTAGATATGGAAGATTAAAAGTTACACACATTTTTAAATAATGCTACAATGAACATGAGAGTACAGATATCTCTTTGACATACTGATTTCATTTTTTAAAATATATACCTAGAAGTGGGTTGCTGGATTATATAGCAATTGTATTTTTAATTTTTTGAGAAACTTTCATACTATTTTCAGTAATGGCTGTACTAATTTACATTTCTATCAACAATGTATAAGCATTCCCATTTCTCCACATCTTTACTAACACATCTTTTCTTTTTTTAAAAAAAAAATAATATCCATTCTAACAGGTGAGGTGACATTTCATAGTGGTTTTGATTTGTATTTCCCTGGTGATTAATGATGTTGAGCACCTGGGGCATTTGTGTCTTATTGGAAAAATATGTATTCAAGTTCTTGGCACATTTTAAAATTGAGCTTTTGTTTCTTGCTATTAAGTTGCATGAGTTCCTTATATATTTTGGATAGTAATCCCTTTTCAGATCTCGTGTTAATTACAGCATTATTTACAATAGCCAAGATACAGAAACAAATGTCCGTCAGTGGATGAATGGATAAAATATATAGAGTATTTCCATGAACGGAATACACTGTTATTAATTTTTAAAAGTAAATATGTGCTAATAGTTGAAACCACATGGATAAACCTAGAAGATGGTATGCTGAGTGAAATAAGCCAGACACAGAAAGAAAAAGACTGCATCTTATATATATGTGAAATCTAAAATAAAACTCACAGAGACTTGAATAACATTTGCCAGGAACAGGGCTGGGGAGGGAAAAGGGAAAAATGGGGAAATATTGGTCAAAAGGGTACAAAGTTCCAGTTAGGCAAGATAAGTAAGTTCTGAAAATCAAATATACAGAACGGTGACTACAGTTAACAATAATGTATTATATACTTGAAATTTGCTAAAAGGGTATATGGGTGTATGTTGAATGTCCTCACAATTAAAAAAAAAAGAAAATGGTAACTATTTGAGGTTACAGATATGTTAATTGGTCTGATTGTGATTATTTTAGTGTATACATATATCAAAACATCAAGTTGTACATGTTAAATATGTAAAATTCCTATTTGTAAATTATATCTCAATAAAGCTGAAAACAAAAAAATAAACACATAAAAGTTATACACATTTTAAACAAGTACTTTCTAGAGGAATATCACTCTCTTTTCTGCACAATATTTTTAGTTTACATTCCCCAGAAGCAGACTTAGAAACAAGATACAAAATGTAAGTAATTTATTTGGATGCTGATCTCAGGAAGCGTATGTAGAATAAAGAACTGAGACAGAGAGGAGACAGCAGTAAATACAACATGTTCTTTATTAAGCAACTTATTACTACAAGCAATTGGAGCTTAATTCCTCTGGAGAACTCTGAGGACCAGTATAGAACGTGTCCCTCATAGTTTATCTCACTCAAGAGAGAGAGGGGCTGCTTCGTATTTATGTGAGAGGGATAATTCATTTCGCAATGAGATGCAGATGCTATTAGTTGGAAGTCAAGCTAGAGTGTATTGAAATGGTAAGACTCGAAAACGTGTAATGGGAACTGTTATGCCACCTTATATATAATTTCACCCCCTACAAACACACACACTCATACACACACATTATCTCACTCCTTCATTTATTTCTTCCTTAACATCTTATTACTACAAATTTTACTTATTTTTCAACTTACTGTTTATACATTCTCTCTAAAGTACCAGCTATATTAGAGAAAATAGATTGCCTAATTTTTCTCTGCTATTTTTCCAGTGTTTGATCTGACTTCCACTTATCACAAAAAATTAGTGAGAACTTTAACCCTGGTATATTTTAGTGAAAAACCCCTGGTGTTATACTTCACGCTTGGAAGCCCTTTGGTGGGAAGGGTAAACTATATTAACTCTGAGGCTGCAGTTAAAAGGCTTCTTATAAAGTTAAGGAACTTTAAATTTAGTGTAGCATAGTGGTTGAATGTTCTGGCTCTGAAGCTAAATTGGACTACAGTCAAATTCCAATTCTCCTACTTAATGGTTAAGTGACTTGAAGACTGAGCTCTTGATCTCTATGATTTTTTCATAATACTAGGAAACAATAATCATGCTTTTTAATGCAGTTTTTAACAAGGAAGACTATATTTAACACCATGTTTACTGAGACAAATGGAATAGGATGTTTATTACTTGGATGATAAAATCAATATACTATTTACTCAGTATTCTGATTCAACTTTTCCTGAGTAAATTTTCCCTCATAATTATCTCAGTTACTTTGTTTACTTGGAGCAGGGGTCATTGTAAACTTTGTCTGCAAAAGGCCAGAAAGTAAACATCTTAGGCCTTGCAGGCAGTAAGGTCTCTCTCACAACTACTCAACTCTGCTGTTGGAGGGTGAAGCCAGTCATAGACAATATGTACAGGAATAGGTGTGATGGTGGTCCATTCAAAAGTAAAATACCAAAATAGGTGGTAGGCCAGATTTGGGCTATAGCTATTCCTTTACTGACCCCTGGCATAGAACATATAGTCTAATGTTAAAACCGAAGATAAAATTATGCCAAATATTTTTTCAGAAGTATTCCTTTATGTAAGAATATAATTTAAAAAAGTTTTAGATGTTTGAAAATGAGTTTTTCCTTAATATTTCACCTACTAAATAAATAAAACAAAATCATGATATTATAACTTGTAAATTTTCACTTTATGCTAAAAAATGTATCTGATATTTTTAGGGTTGTTTCAAATAAATTCATGTAAAATATTACCAGATAAATAACTTTGAAAATGAATTGAATTCAAAGTAAAGGACAGGAAACACATCAACTAAGAAATATGCTGCACCATAACAGATGTTGTTTCACTTGAATCAATGCAATGAAAACCAAAGTTGAAGAACATCTGGAAAATTTCCCAAAATCTATATTTAGAAAAGCCAACAGTCTCTGTTCTTGATCCTTGAATCATTTCTAAATTATCATATCTTCCTTTATAATTTAAAAAATCTTTTAAGTGCCTCACTTAAGATGTGAAAAAAATACATATTTAACTACAGAATGAGAAAATATGGAGGAAAAGCTTAGCCTCATGTAAGAGTTTTGAAGGGCTCAAAAAGGGCCTGTCTGCCTGAAAGTTCATTTATTCATACTATACTAAAAGTTTGATATCAGAATCATTACTTTTAAAGGAATATTCTGTGTTAATAGACAAATACCCTGAGAAGAACTTTGTTTTTTTATCAAAGTTACACTTTAGCATTAGTATACTATCTACTTTTTAAATAACAACTGGCTAAGAAAAGCACAAATATAACTGAAGTTAATGAAGGAAATGTGGTTAGAGTGCAGAGAACGCACCACTGCATTCCTGTTTTCCTCTTTTGTTCCTAATAGTAGAGCTTATAACTCACTCCACCCTCAGACCTATCATTTTGTTATAGCAAAAGTTTTCAGCAGCATCTCCTGGGAATATTGCTAAAAGGTCGTTGCTTGGGTCCTACTTTAGATATACTGAAATTAGAGGAGTGGGTTTCAGGAATATGCATTTTTAAAAGCAACACAGATGATTCTGAAGCACAGTCAAAGTTAAGGACGACTGTTCTAAGACCTTCCCTGGGCATATCTTTCTACCTGGAGGACATTTCCTTATCCTATAGATAAAGAAAATTATTAAGAGCAGAAAAAATTGAGTAAACTCATATCAGATGTAGGCAATCACTTTACCTCAAGATTGGTTGGCATTTTAAACATTCCAGTCCAATAAATAAAGTCCACCACCCTGTGTATACTTTTCTACTCAGGAGTAATTCTTCCAGGGTAATTTTTTGTTAACATATTAAAATTAAATATGGAAATATACATGAATATTAAGATGCATATTATCCACTTCAGAATCTTAGCAAAATTTAGTTCAGGCTCAGATTTTGGTCAATTGATTTCTTGAAAATATCATCAATCCTATGTATGTCCTCAATTTTTTGGACTGGACCACATACTTCCATAGCCATTGGAGCTTGACAGCTAAGGCTTTTGCTGCTCACAGACATAGTGAAAATCCTGGATAAGTGAAGGATGAAAAATCCATAGTAATCAGAACTTTTTCGCTTCTAAGTGACAGATCTGGTTATGCAATGGTAAAGTTCAGGAATATCTGGGTTCAGAAAATGCTAGACTCAAGTTCTCAAACAATGTAATGAAGAATTTATCTCTCCAGCTCAAGGCTGTCCTGTTCCCTGTGCTACCTTCACTCTCAAGCAGACTATTTCTACAGAATAACATGGCTCCCGGAATCTCCAAACTTAAATTGTACTAGCTCAGGAGACCCCATGAAAAGATAATTTTCTCTTTCCAGTAATTCAAGTAGACATTACATAATTTGTTCTGATTGCATGAACTTGAAATCATATGCTTATCCCTGTTCCAATCATTGTGCCAGAAAGACGAAATATGTATATTGCCTGGATCTATTTCTTGTGATACATTTCAATCTAGAGAGGTAAGACTAGCCCCACCAAACCAAAAAAATGAAACCAACAATAATACCTAATGTTAAATTGGCACTATGTGCTAAACACGCTTCTACATGCTTTATAGATATTAAGTAATTTAATCCTTATTACAATCCTACGGAGGGTGAGAAAATATTATTATTTTATGGAGGAGAAAACCGATAAACAGAGTAGTTAAGTAACTCACCTACAGTTACATAGTTGTGAAGTAGTAAAGCAAGGATTTGAACCCAGGTAGTGTCGAAACAAAATTAACACTTAACTAATACACTATATAAAAGAGATAGTTGAATGGCCGTGGAAACATTAGCCTGCTGTTAACAAAAGAGGGGACAATGTAAGGTGGCTAAGAATAAATTATGTCCACTATGTGGGACAGTCAGAAAAGAGCATTAATATTATTGAGTCAGTGGCAGCGATAAAGCAAAATTTTTCTATTCGGTTGCCAGGAAATATTTTAGTTCACAAAAGATTCCTGTATCTGCTTTTGATATTTCATACTTTCTGGTGCAGTTTAATTGTTTCCTGAAGTCAATATCTTTACAATTCTATTTTAAAGAAGTTTTATTTAATATAATTTTACAGCAAACATTCACACCACACACACATACAATATTTCATTTCAACCAAGAGGAATTCTTTCTCTCTCCTTCACTGCAAAGAATTGCAGGATAATTCCAAAAAGCTTTTGTTGGAACCAAGTAGTTCATGGACAATTGCCTTCCTGGAACCAATGTCCATTTGAATCTATTTATTAAGTTTTTAATTAACAGCTATTGTTTTATCACAGGTGTGTATGTTTATCTCAAGGATGCTTTCCGCATGAAGGAATGGCGCCAAGAAAGTTAAATTGGAAAATAATCCCATATAAATTTTTTTTCTAATAATTATCAGTCAGAAACAGGAAATTCAACAACAGATTTATTATTTTAGAAAACAAAGCCACTGAATGAGAATTTTAGCATGGCTTCCTGAATACTTTCTACCATCACACTTCCCACCCCAACACACATACAGAAATACACTAACTCTTTTTATTTATGTTTCTTTATTTATTCTTACTTTGATATGTAGTTCATGGCACTTTCCTCTCAATTCTACAAAGGAAAATATCTTTGGCATACAGACATGTATTTGGCATTTTAAAAGTCTCCAGATCCAAACAGCTGGCAAACAGAATGTGAGAGTGAAACTGTCTCCTTTCAATCTTGGCAGAAACTTACATATTTAGAATCTGGAAAATGCCAGTTGCCTAACAGTACTATCATGTCCCAAAAGAAAGTGGGAAACATGCTGTATTTAACTTGGAATAGAGAGGGAAATTATACCTAAATTAATTACTTAAGTTTCAGTGTTTTCAATTTCAATGTTTCCATTCTTTAAAAAGAAAAAAAAAGACACTTCGACTTTTTAAAGTCTAAGCAAATTCAACTTTCGAATCTGCAACCCTTCTACAAGAGTGGGACCATCAGCAACTTTGTGCCCACAAAACCAATTTTTGTGTAGTTCTCAGTACTCATTGAGAAGGAAGTACAGCTCCTTAAGTAGTTCAATGCTCTCTCATTTTCTCTTGTATTCTGAAGTATACTGCAAGCATTTTAACTTAAAGACTATTTTGTCTATATTTATGTTCCTGAGCAAAATATAAAACTTAGGAAAATATGGCTACTCAATGAATACTTGAATGAATCAAATAATAAAAAAATTGAAAGAAAATTATGTAATCTAAATGGTTTCCAAAGATTCATACAATTTTTATGGAATAATGAGAGAAATGATGTTATTGTGGCAAAAGCTCAAGTTTCTCTTTGTTTTCAAATGGCATGGACTTTTCTTTGCAATGGTTTGAATTTCCAAATTTCTCCTAATTTAAATAGGGTATTTTGTTCACCAGTTACCTATTTAGAGATATAAATGCAAGAGTTGGAGAAGGACACTTACTACCATGCCCTAAAAATTTCAGAGAGGGGAGAGGACTTGTGCTTAATTCCACAAGAGAGATCAGTACCGTAGTGAAAACTTTCATTCTTCTCTCTTGCTAACTTACTCCTCCCTATGGCAAGAGAAGAAGCTTTAGCAACCTAGGACAGAGACACGTATTGGACCATACCACTCAAAAAACAGGATCTATATTTGATATGGTTTGGTTGTGTCTCCACCCGAATCTCACCTTGAATTGTAGCTCTCATAATCCCCATGTGTCATGGGAGTTACCCAGTGGGAAGTAATTGAATCATGGGGGTGGATTTTTCCTGCGCTGTTCTAGTGATAATGAATAGGTCTCACAAGATCTGATAGTTTTATAAAGGGCAGTTCACCTGAACATGCTTTCTTGCCTGCCACCATGTAAGACATGCCTTTGCTCCTCCTTCATCTTCTGCTGTGATTGTGAGGCTCTCTAGCCATGTGAAACTGTGAGTCCATTAAATCTCTTCTTTTTAAATAAATTACCCACTCTCAGGTATTTATTCATAGCAATATGAAAATGGACTAATACAGTAAATTGGTACTGATAGAGTAGGGTACTGCTATTAAGATACCTAAAAATGTGGAAACAATTTTGGAACTGGGTAACAAGCAGAGGTTGGAAAACTCTGGAAGGCACAGAACAATATAGAAAAATGTGGGAAAGTTTGGAACTTCCTAGTGACTTGGAAGGCTCAGAAGACAAGAAGATATGGGAGAGTTTGGTACTTCCTAGACAGTTGTTGAATGGCTTTGACCAAAATGGTGATAGTGATATGGACAATAAAGTCCAGTCTGAGGTGGTTCAGATGGAGATGAGGACCTTGTTGGGAACTAGAGCAGAAGTGACTCTTGCTATGCTTTAGCAGACAGACTGATGGCATTTTGTTCCTGCCCTAGAGATGTGTGAAACTTTGAGAGAGAAGATTTAGGGCAGAAATTACTAAGTGGCAAAACATTCAAGAGGAAGCAGAGCACAAAAGTTTGGAAGATTTGCAACCTGACCATACGATAGAAAAGAAAAACTCATTTCCTGGGGAGAAATTGAAGCCTGCTACAGAAATTTGCGTAAGTAACCAGGAGCCGAATGTTAATCACCATGACAATGGGGAAAATGTATCCAGGGCATGCCAGAGACCTTAGCAACAACCCCTCCCATTACAGTCCCGCAGGCCTAGGATGGAAAAATGGTTTCCTAAGCCAGATCCAGGGTCCCCCTGCTGTATGCAGCCTAGGGACTTATTGCCCTGAATCCCAGCTGCTACAGCCATGACTAAAAGGAGCCAAGGTACACCTCAGGCTGTGGTTTCAGAGAATGCAAGCCCAAGCTTTGGCATCTTCCATGTGGTGTGGAGCCTGCACATGCACAGAAATCAAGAATTGAGGTTTGGGAACCTCTGCCTAGATTTCAGAGGATGTATGGAAATGCCTGGATGTCCAGGCAAAAGTCTGCTGCAGGGGTGAAGCTCTCATGGAGAACCTCTGCTAGGGCAGTGCAGAAGGGAAATGTGGGGCTGAAGCCCCCACATAGAGTCCCCACTGGGGCACCTCTTAATGGAGCTGTGAAAAGAGAACCACCGTCCTCCAGACCTCAGAATGGTATATCCACCGACAGCTTGCACCATGCACCTTGAAAAGCTGCAGATACTCAATGCCAGCCAGTGAAAGCAGCTGGTATGAGGGGTATACCCTGCAAAGCCACAGGGGCAGAGCTGCCCAAGGCCATAGGAGCCCACCTCTTGCATCAGCGTGACCTGGATGTGAGACATGGAGTCAAAGGATATCATTTTGAAACTTGAAGGTTTAATGAGTGCCCTATTGGATTTTGGACTTGCTTGGAGACTGTAGCCCCTTTGTTTTGGCCAATTTCTCCCATTTCAAACTGATGTATTTACCCAATGTCTGTAATTTAACCCCCATTGTATCTAGGAAGTAAGTAACTTGCTGTTGATTTCACAGGCTCGTAGGCTGAAGGGACTTGCCTTGTCTCAGATGAGACTTTGGACTATGGACTTTAGAGTTAATGATGAAATGAATTAAGACTTTGGGGGACTGTCGGGAAGGCATGATCATATTTTAAAATGTTAGGATATGAGATTTGGGAGGGATGAGGGGCAAATGATATGGTTTGGCTGCGTCTCCACCCGAATCTCATCTTCTATTGTAGCTCCCATAATCCCATGTGTCATGGGAGGGACCTGGTGGGGGATAATTGAATTGTGGGGTTGGGTTTTTCCCATGCTGTTCTCATGATAGTGAATAAGTCTCATGAGATCTGATGGTGTTACAATGGGCAGATCCCCTGCACATGCTCTCTTGCCTGCCAACACGTAAGACGTGCCTTTGCTTCTCCTTCATCTTCCACTATGATTATGAGGCCTCCCCGGCCATGTGGATCTGTGAGTCCATTAAACCTCTTTTTCTTTATAAATTACCGAGTCTTGGGTATTTCTTCATAGCAGCGTGAAAATGGATTAATACAATATTGAAAAGTCAATGTATTCTGTCATTGGGTGACTGGGGTTTGTCAGGTGGGTAATGACCTTTCATGTAACTGCTTCGCATACTCTTTGTAGGTGGTTGTGAGACATTTGGTCTCAGGCCTAAAGACATTCTCTAACACTCTTTTTCCAGAATAATAAAAGTGATAGGTTGATCCTCTTCTGGCTCCATCTGTCCTGTCTCAGTTGGCTAGAATTCAGAAGGAGGTTGCTCATGGAAGTGATTGGTAACACAAACTTACAATAGTACCAAGAATAATTAACTTTAAGGCTTAGAAACTACTTTGGAGTTATGACTGACAATTTATTACTTTCTGATTAATTAGATATTTGTGGTTGAGGATTTTCTAACCAAAAGTGTTAAAAATATTTTAATGATAATTTATTTTTTATTCTTTCAGGATTCAAAAGGCATTTCAGGAGATGATGTCAGTGAAAATGGCAGAGTAAAACTTCCCAAATTCTCTCTTCCATAAAAGCACTGAGAAAATAAATTAAAATTTCAGAATTAACATTTTGAGAACACCACACATAAACCAAGAACGTGCAAAATTTTGGGAAGCATTTACTCAAGAAAATAAAAAAGTTAATCTCAGTAAGAACAGCAGTCTATGTGGTCTTTTAACTTATCCTGTTTTCTTTGTTCTCTCTCCAGCTCCATGATGACAATGAAAACCAATAGCTAACAGTCATGCTAAAAAAGCAGCAGCCTGGCAGCCACTGGAGGGGACAGAACAGGTTTGGAGTTACACTAAAGCCTCATTCCTGGAGAATTATTATTTGACTTATCTGGTGGCCCACAGAAAGGCAATCTTCCAAAGCTATCTTTATCTGAGTTGGAGAACCCACTTCAAAGTAGATTTATTCTCATCAACAAGTTGTGATGACCAAACAATCAACTGGAAAAAAAAATAAACTGATAGCAATATAAAAAACATGTATCCATTCTTCTTTCTTTAAATTATTAGCCTTTTAAACATATCGTTGTGTGTACATAGTAGTTGTATATATTTAAGAGGTACATGTGATATTTCAATACAGGCATTCAATGTGTAATAATCACATCATGGAAAATGGGATATCCATCCCCTCAAGCATGTTTCCTTTGTGTTACAAAATCAAATTAAAAACTTTTAGTTATTTTTAAATGTAGCATTAAAGTATTATTGACTATAGTCACCCTGTTGTGCTATCAAATACTGGAAATAATTCAGTCATTCTATTTTTTTTTTTCGTAAACATTAACCATCCCCAACTCCTCCCCACCCCCAACACTACCCTTTTCAGCCTCTGGTAACCATCCTTCTACTCTATCTCCAAGAATTCAACTATTTTGATGTTTAGAGCTCACAAATGAGTGAGAATATGCAATGTTTGTCTTTCTCTGCCTGTTTTATTTCACTTGACAAAATGATCGCCAGTTCCATCCGTGTTGTTGCAAAGGACTGAATCTCATTCTTTTTGAATGAATAGTACTCCATTGTGTATAAGTACATTTTCTTCATCCATTCGTCTGTTAATGGACATTTAGATTGCTTTCAAATCTTGGTTTTTGTGAACACATCTGCAAGAAACATGGAAGAGCAGATATCTCTTTGACATACTTATTTCCTTTCTTTTAGTTATATATCCAGCAGCAAGATTGCTAGATTAGATGGTAGCTTTACTTTACTTTTTTGAGAAACCTCCAAACTGTTCTCATAGTGGTTGCATGAATTTATATTCCTACTAACAGTGTATGAGGGTTCCCTTTTCTCCACATCCTCCCCTGCATTTGTTATTGACTGTCATTTGGATACAAGTTATTTGAACTGCGGTGATATGATATCTCATTGTAGTTTTGATTTGAATTTCTCTGATAATAAATCATGTCAAGCACCTTTTCATATGTCTGTTTGCCATTTGTATGCCTTCTTTTGAGAAATGTCTATTCAAATCTTTTGACAATTTTTGGTCAGAGTATTAGATTTCTTTCCTGTAGAGTTGTTTGAGCTTCTTGTATATTCTGCTTATTAATGCTTTGTCAGACTGGTAGTTTGTAAACATTTTTTCCTATTCTGTGTTGTCTCTTCACCTTATTGATTGTTTTCTTTGCTGTGCAGAAGCTTTTAACCTTAATGTGATCCTATTTGTCCATTTTTGCTTTGGGTGCCTATGCTTGTGAGGAATTAATGAAGAAAGTTTGGCCGAGACAATGTCCTGGAAATTTTCTCCAATGTTTCATTTCTATGTGCCTGTTTTTCTGCCAGTATTATGCTGTTTTGGTTACTATAGCTCTGTCATATAATTTGAAGTCAGGTAATGTAATTCTTTCAGTTTTATTCTTTTTGCTTAGAATAGCTTCGGCTATTTGGTTCTTTCATGATTCCTTATGAATTTTAGGATTGCTTTGTTCTATTTCTGTGAAGAATGTCATTGGTATTTTGATAGAAATTTCATTTACTCTGTAGATTGCTTTGGGTAGTATGGATATTTTAACAATATTGTTTCTTTCTTCCATGCCATGAACATGAAATATCTTCATTTTATGGTGTCCCCTTCAATTTCTTTCATCAGTGTTTTATAGCTTTCATTACAGAGACCTTTCACTTCTTTGGTTAAGTTAATTACTATTTAATTGTATGTGTGGCTGTTATAAATGGGATTACTTTTTAAATTTCCTTTTCGTATTGTTCACTGTTGGCATACAGAAACGTTACTGATTTTTGTATGTCCATTTGTGTCATGCAGCATTAGTAAGTTTGTATCTGTTATAATAGTTTTCTTATAGAAGCAGGGTGACTGGGTCCATGAGTGCATGCTTGCACCATGGGGGGCTGGATGGCAGGGTGCATGTGCATGGATGCCAGCTGGAACAGGGCCACAGGAAGTTCTGTGTGCATGTTTCCTGGTGGCAGTGGGGTGGCAAGTTCTGCATGTGTGCACATGCCGGTAAAGCAGTGCAGGAGGCTGAAGATGAGTACATGCTAGCCAAGTGGTGAGGGTGGCTATGGATAAAGTGCACACTGGCAATGTGGTTGGGGTATACTGCAGATTGGTGTGCATCAGTGGAAGCCTATCTTCTTAAGCTCTCTTTTGTGCAGGCAGGGTCTGATGGTGAAGAGGATATGGTGGCAGCCATCAAGATGGGCCTTATTTGGGCATCTGAGGCTGTACTGCAAAGTAGGCACAGGCTCTAGTAGTAGCGGGTAGGCAAGGCGGCACTCAGATCAGACTGGCCCTTCTTTGTCTAGGTCTGACATTCAACAATGGAAAAAGCCACCTAAAGGAACCTGGTGAGCCTTCATGGGTGGACCTCTCTGGCTGTGTTTCGTGCATCAACTTCTCTGGGCTCTGCACAGGCTGGAGTCTTGTCCCTGCCACCTCTCTAAGCAGCTCTCCATGTCAGTTCAAATGTGTATGGGAGTCATGTGTTCTCCTGCAGCTAGGATTTAAGAGGTCCATGGAGAGAGCGGGCCACTCTTCATCTACTTATCCTACCCTTTGCCTATTTAACTCACCTTTTCCCCCAGATCTGCTGTAGGCCAGAAATGAGTCCTAATGCTTTTCAGCCTTGTGCAGGGCTCCTAGTTTCTTCCTCTTCATCCCAGGGTCTGCATCTTCCCTCTGTCTACTCTCAATGCTCTCCTTCTGAAGATCTGCTCAGAGTGTGCCCATCTTTGTGATGGTCTATTTAGTCAGTGGGATATGCTCTTCCTGGCTTCATTTAGTCAACCCTCTTGGTTTTCCACCCCTGCGCTATTTCTAAGCACCATTCACCAATTAAAGGACGTTTTGGTTGCTTTCAAGTTTTAGCAATTATAAATAAACCTGCTATATACATTAGTGTGTGGGTGTTTGCATAGAAATCAGCTTTCAATTTAGTTAGAAAAATACCAAGGACTGGATTGTATGACAAGAGTGTGTTTAGTTTTGTAAGAAATTGCCTATAATGGTTAATTTTATGTGTCAACTAGATTGGGCCATGGGTTACCCACATAGTCAAACATTATGCATTTGTTTGTGAGAGTGTTTCTGAATAAAACTAACATTTTAATTGGTAGACTGAGTAAAGTAGATTGTCCTCCCTAATGTTGATGGGCCTCATCTATTTAGTTCAAGGCCTGAATAGAACAAAAAGACTGAATAACAGGTGCTATGGTCAGAATGCTTGTGTTCCCCCAAAATTCATATGTTGAAATCCTAACCCTCAATGTGATCATTTTAAGGGTGGGGTGACTTTGGGAGGCGGTTGTATTATGAGGGTGGAGCCATTATGAATGAAATTAGTGCCCTTATAATAGAGACCCAGGAAAGCTTGCTTACCCCTTCCACTATGTGAAGCCACAGCAAAAAGGCACCACCATGAGGAACAGGCCCTTAACAGACATAAAATCTTTTGGCACCTGGATCTCTGAGTTTTCAGTCTCTAAAACTAAGCAAAAATAAATATTCATTTTTATAAGCACCTAGTTTATGGTATTTTTACAGTAGTTTGAATGAACTAAAAAATATGGGAACTTCTCCTGCCTGAATGCCTTTGAGGTGGGACATTGTTTATTTTTTACACCCTCAGACAGGAACTGAAAAATTGCCTCTTCCTTCAGGCCTGCCAGGGTTTGAACTGGAACTATACCATTGGTTCTCCTGGGTTTCCAGCTTACTGACTCCATATCTTTGGAATTGTCAACCTTCAATATCTGTGTGAGCTAATTCCTTATAATAAATCTCTCTTTCTCTCTCTCTCTCTCTCCCTATTTATATATATATACACACACACACACACACACACACACACACACACACACACACAATTGTTTCTTTTTCTCTGGAAAACCATGTAAATACACTGCCAAACTTTCTTCCAAAGGAGCTGTACTATTTGCCTTTCCACAAGCAAGGGCAAAGAGTTCCTCTGTTGCTCAAAATTTTCACCAGCATTTGATGTTCTCAGTATTTGGGGTTTTTTCCATTCTAATAGGTATAGAGCGGTATCTTATTTGTTTTAATTTGCATTTTCCTACAAATATAGGATGTTAAACAACTTTGTATATGCTTATTAGCCATCTGCATATTTTCTTTGTTGACGTATATAAATCTTTGCCATTTTTAAATCTAGTTGTATATTTTATTGAGATCTATTTATGTATTCATTTATTTTTAGACAGTCTCACTCTGTTGCCCAGGCTTGAGTGGAGTGGCATGATCTCAGCTCATTGCAACCTCTGCTCACCAGATTCAAACAATGTTCCCACCTCAGCCTCCCTAGTAGCTGGGACTACAGGTGTGCACCACCATGCCTAGCTAATTTTTCTATTTTTTTTTCTAGATGCGGGGTTTTGACACGTTGTTAAAGCTGCTCTCAAACTCAAGACCTCAAGTGATCTACCCACTTTGGCCTCCTAAAGTGCTGGGATTATAGGCATGAGCCACAGTGCCCAGCCTGTTTTACTGAGTTTTTAAAATTCCCTTTATAAGTTGGATAGCAGTCCTTACTAGATACATGCTTTGAAAATAACTTTTGCAATCTGTTGCTTGTTGTTTCATCTTTGAACAGTGTCTTTTGCAGGATAGAACTTGGTTATTTTGATGGAGATGAACTTATCATATCAAGCCCAAGGTTATCTAGATTTTCCCCTATGTTACCTTCTAGAAGTTGTATAGTTTTGCGTTTTATATTTACACATGATGTTTTTCAAGTTAATTTGTGTGTAAGGTGTGAAGTCTGTGTCTATATTTATTTGTGTGTGTATGTGTGTGTGTGTGAATGTCCAGTTATTACAGCACCATTTGTTGAAATGACTGAATTTTCTCCACTAAATTTACTGTGACCCTTTGTGAAATATCAGTTGACTACATTTGTGTGGATCTATTTCTGGGCTATTTTTTATTGGCTTGTCTAATCTTTTCCCTATACCATACTGTTCTCATTCTTGTGGCTTTACAGCAAGTCTTGAAATCTAGTAGTGTCTTATACTTCAGTATTTTGTTGGCAATTCTGGATGTTTTGACTTTCTATAAAAACTATAAAATGTGTTTATAAATGTCCACAAAATTACTGACTGCGGTGTTAATTAGTATTGAATCTGATTGAATCTATCAGTCAGGTTGGGATGATCTAACACCTTGCTATGTCCTTATATGTGTACATTAAATGTCTCTCTATTTAAGATTTTGTTTCATTTCTTTGATTAAAGTTTTTAGTTTCCTCATATATATATATAAATAAATACATATTTTGTTAGCATTACATTTAGATATTTCATTTTGTATGTGAATTATATGTTCCAAAGTTTCCATTTACATTATTTAATATATCTAGTTTTTATTAAAACTCTAAGACATGCAAAGAAACAAAACATATGGGAACTAATAAGGGAAAGAACAATCAATAAAAAATGTTCCCGTGGAAGCTAAGACATTGGACTTTCTAGACAAAGATATTGAATCAGTCATTTTACATATGTTAAAATAACTACATGCAACCATATGTAAATTACTAAAAGAAAACTTGAGAATGTTATCTCTGCAAAATATAGAATATTGATAAAAAGGCAGATACTGTTTTATTAAAGAGCCACATACAAATTCTGGAGGTGAGAAGTATAATAAATGTAGTAAAAAATTTACTAATAAGCTCAAAATAAATTTCTATCCGGCAGCAGAATGAATTAGAAGCTTGAAGATAGCTCAGTGGAGATTATCTAGTTTCAGAAAAGAAATTCAAAAAAATAATTCAGAGCCTCAGAGTAATGTGGGATACCATCAATCATACCAATGTATGCATATGGCAGTTCCAGGATATGAAAAAGAGCAAGCAACAGAAAGATAATTGGAAGAAATAATGACTGAAAACTTCCAAAATTTGACAAAAAACATTTATCTTTATATTCAAGAAGTTCAAATACTCCAAGCAGTATAAACCCAAAAAGAACACCACCTAGACGTACCATAATCGAACTGTCAAAACCAAAATACAAAGAGAGAAACTTGAAAGGAGCAAGAAGAAAGCAATTCATTGTGTACAAGTGATCTGCAATAAGAATAAAATCCATTTTCTTTTTAGAAACAAGGGAGGTCAGGAAATAATGGGATGACATATTCACAAGTGCTGAAAGAAAAATTATAAAGCAAGAATTCTGTATCTAACAAAATTGTTATTCTAAAATAAAGGCAAAATTAAAGTATTTCCACAAAAATAAAACAGAGTCTATCACTAACAAATCTGTACTACAATAAATACTAAAGGAAGTACTTCAAGATGAAATGAAAGGATGCTAAAAACTAATTCTAGTACACATGAAGAAATAAAAGAGCACTGGAAAAGGAAAAGGTAATTATGTATTGATAAAAGATGGTATTTTAAAAGTAATTTCTTCTTTCAACGAAGGATAAAACAATATGGAAGATCAAAAAGGAAATGGAAGTCTTGAACAACAGTGTAAACAAAATGTACCTAACATACATATATAGGAAACTCCACCTAAAAGCAACAGACTATACATCCTTCTCAGGTGCACATGTAGCATTCTCCAGAGTAGATCTTAAACTTGTATATAAAACAAGTATCTATAAATTTAAAAGGATTGAATTAGTACATAATATTTTCTCCAACCAAATGGAAAGAATACAAATCAGTAAAAGAAACTTTGAAAATTCACAAGTATGTTTAAATTAAACACTACCACCTTAAACAACCAAGGAGTCAACGAAGAAATCATACACAAAAAAATAGGAAAATAACTGGAGATAAATAAAAGACAAAATCCCACTTACCAAAACTTATAATAAAATTAAGCTAAAGCAGTGGTTAGTGGGAAATTCATAATTCTAAGTGCCTGTATTATGGAAGGGGAAATAGCCAAATTAACTCAACTTTCTAACTTAAAAATTAAGAAAAGCAAAGAAAACTAATGCCAAAGCAAGCAGAAGGAAGGAAAATGAAGTCCAAAATAAATAAAGGTGATAAGAAACAAAATGTTAGAAAACAACCAAAAAATCGACTCTTTGTAAACGTCAACCAAACTGATCAACCTACAGCTAGACTGACCAAGAAAAAAATGCAATATACTAAAATCTATAATGAAAGGAGGAGACATTACTATCAATCTTGTAGAAATAAAAAGGATTTTAAGGTAACGCTCTGAAGGATTGGATGTCAACTTGTTAGATAATATAGATGTAATACACACATTCCTAGAAGTACACTGTCAAAACTGATGTAAGAGGAAACAGAAAATAAAAATAGAGGAGTAACAAGCAAAGAGACTGAGTTGGGAAAACCAAGACTTGCTACAAAGAAAAGCTCAGGACCGCATGGCTTCACTAGAGAATTCTTTCAAATGATTAAAGAATAATTATCACAAAATTTTAACAAACTCTTTAAAAAAGGAGAGAAATGAACACTTTCCAACTCATTATATAAAACCCGTGTTTTTTTCATTCCAAAACCAGACAATGGCATTGAAAGTAAACAGCGGACCAATATTCCTTATGAATATAAACACAAATATCCTCAACATATACTAGCAACATAAATCCAGTGTACTCTCTCTTTCTCTCTCTCTCTCTCTCTCTCTCTCTCTATATATATATATATATATAATTTTTTTGCTTCTTATCTCCTTTATTTATTTTGGACTTCATTTTCCTTCCTTCTGCTTGCTTTGGCATTAGTTTTCTTTGCTTTTCTTAATTTTTAAGAAAATTTATATAAATCTCATATATATATTTATCATATGTATATGATTATATACCAAGTCAGAAAATGTTTCATGATAAAACAGTTATTGAATTTCCTCACTCTAATAAAGGACATTTACAATAGAACTTACCAGTAACATTGTACATAATGGTGACAAATTAAAAACTTTCCCCATAAGATCAGGAAAGAAAACAGGGTGTCTGTTCTTGCCATTTCTATATAACATTTAATTAGAAGTTCTATCCAAGGCATTTAGTCAGGAAAACAAAGGCATCCAGATTGGAAGGAAAGAAGTAAAACTATCTCTATTTTCAAATGCAATTATTTTGTGTATTGAAAATTCTAAGAAATCCAGAAAATAAAACTATAAGAAATAGTAAATATCTTCAGCAAGGTTACCAGATGCAAGATTAATATACAAAAATTATTTGTATTTCTATACACTACCATGGAAAATCTGAAAATAGGATAAATAAACGACTTCATTTACAGTAGCATCGAAAGGAAAAAAAGGCTTACGCATAAATTTAACCATGGAAGTGTATGCTGTACACTTGTTCACTGAAAACTAAATAAGAAATTGTTGAAAGTAATTGAAGGAAACCTAAATAAATGCAAATGCATTCCTTGTTCATAGATTGGAAAACTTAATATTATTAAGATGGCAATATTTTCTAAATTGATATTCAGATTCAATGAAACTCATATTAAATGTCCATTTGTTATATTTTCAGAAATGGACAAACCAATTCTAAAATTCATATGAAATTTCAGGTAATGGCAAATCGTCACAACCAATCTTGAAAAAGAAAACAAAAATAGAACCACTTCACCAATTTCAAAACTTAGTACAAGGCAATGATAACCAACACAATGTGGTGCTGACATAAATACAGCCATGTAGATTAATGAGATTAAATTGAGAGTCTAGAAAGAAAACTATATATCTGTGGTCAACTAGTTTTAAACAAAGGTGATAAAACAGTTCTAAGAGGAGAAATGTTTTTTAAACAAATGATGTTTGGATATGTCTACATGCCAAAGAATAGAATTACACCTTTACTTCATACCATATACAAATATTAGCTCAAAATTGATCAGATACCTAAATATAAGAGCTAAAACTATAAAAGTCTTAGAACAAATAGTAGGAGTGAGTCTTTGTAACTTTATATTAGGCAATGATTTCTTAGATACAATACAAAAAGCACAAGAAACAAAACAAAACGTATATAAATGGTCCTTATAAAATTAAAAACTTCTTTGCCTCAATAGAGTCCATCAAAAAGTGAAAATTCAGCCCACAGAATGGGGGAAGATTTTTGCAAATTATAGATTTGACAAGTGACCTATATATGTTACATATTACAACTATTACAACAATTAAAAGGGAAATGTCTAAATTAAAAATGCAGAAAAAGACTGAATAGTTTTTCAAAGAAGGTATACCAATGGCTAAGTATATGAAAAGATGTTCAACATCATTAGTCATCAGGGAAATGTAAGTCAAAACCATATAGATGGCTATAATCAATAGGTCAGATGATAACTAGTGTTGGTGGAGATGTGAAGAAATTGGAATCTTCATACACTGCTGCTGAGAATGTAAAATGGTGTAGCTGCTTTGTAAACTGACAGCTCCTCAAATGGTTAAACATAGTTACCATGTGATCTAGTAATTCCACTCCTAGGTAGATACTCTTGAGAAATGAAACATGTATTGACACGTAACTTATAAATTACTATTCATAGTAACCAAAAGTGGAAACAATCCAAATGTCAATTAATTGATTAATGGATAAATATTTTATATCCATACAATAAAATAATATTAAGCAATACATAGAAAGAGTACTGATCTAAGCTATACTATGGATGAACCTTGACACCCTTGTAGTAAGTGAAAAAAGACAGTTGCAAAAGATCACATGCTGTATTATTTCATTTATACAAAATGTCCAGAATAGGAAAATCTCTGGAGGTAGAAAATAGATTTATGGTTAGGATTGGCTGGGGAGAAATAGAGGCGGAGGTGGGTAATAATTAAGCAACTTGGATTTTTTTTTTTTTTTTAGTGATTAAAACGATTTAAAATTGGTTGTAGTGATGGATGCACAAGTCTGTCAATATACTAAAAGCCACTGGATTTTACACTTAAACGGGTGAATTTATGGCATGTGAATTATATCTCAAAACACACACACACAGACACATAACCCCAGGAATGGGATTGTGTTGAAGGTGTATACTTTGATTCGTATTTATTAAATTTTTGAAACAGTTTTTTTGCGGGTCCAAAACTTTTTCACAGGGCTTTCAAAACACTATTGACCTTAGAGATGAGACTGTGCTGATGATGCATACTGAGGAAAACAGGACTGTCTGTGATCAAGATGGGGTTTTAGAGCCAGGCTGACACGAGCTCAAATCCCAGCTTTGATATTGACTAATTACATGGCCTTGGATAATTTACTAAATTGCCCAGCACACCAGTTTGCCAATCTGTAAAATGGGAAAAATATCTTTTTCTCAGATTTGTTACCAGAATGAAATTAAATAATTTTAACCATAACATAATTAATCTGACATAATAGTCATAATCATAATTATTATTTAAATGTGCCTATAAGGATTGATAGAACACTTAAATATGTTCCAATCATACAAGATGGTCATTCCAAGCAGAGAGAACCATTTGATTAAATACATGAAGGTGAGTAGCATGAGACATATTTGCAGAACTGTGAATGACCCACTTTGATTAAAGCGTATGGTGCGTGAAAAGGAATAATCTATGGAAAAGCTAATGAATTGGTTGGTACCAGATCTTAGAAGGCAAAACATTTGAAGCTAAGGAGCTGTGAAGAAGCAGTGTGACCATTTTTTATTCATTTTTTGAATCCTCAAGACCTAGATCTAACAACTTTGATAAAGAAGAACAAAATTGGAGGTTTAAATTATTTGACTTAAAAAACTAAAAATTTACATTAATCATGACAGTGTATTAATGACGCTAAGATAGATATATAGATCAATGGAGAAGAATAGATCATCTAGACTCAGAGTCCACACATATGATGATTTGGCTTTTGGCAAAGGTGTAACGAGGCAAGTCAGTGGAGAATTCTTTTCAACAAATGGTGCTAGAAAAAATGAATATTAATATGTGTAAAAATTAACTTTAAGCCATAATTCACACCATACACAAATATTAACTGAAAATGCATCATAGATTTAAACATTAAACCTAAAATTATAAAACTCCTAGAAGAAAACATAGGAGAAAGTCTTGACCTTCAATTAGACAAATACTTTTTAGATACATCCAATCCCCAAAAGCATGATTTATAAAAGTAAATCTAAATAAATTGGACTTCACAATAATTAAGAACCCTGGTCTTCAAAAAATAGCTAGTGGATGGAAAAGGCAAAGCAAATATTGGGAAAAAATATTTTCATATCATGGTAGTGTATAGAAATACAATTAATTTTGTATATTAAACTGTTTGATAAACAACCAGTTTCGGGAATATATCAAAATAAGGGAAGGAGCAGAATATTTGAAAAGACAGTTCCCCGAAAAAGATATACTGATAGCAAACAAGAATGTAAAGAGATGTGCAACATCGGTAACCATTATGGAGATAGTACTACACACCCATTAGAATGGTTAAAATTTAAAACATGGCCATCCTATGGATGCGGAATAACTACAACTGTCATATGCTACTGGCAGAAATTTAAAATAGTACAATCACTTTGGAAAACTGTTTGGCAGTGCCTTAAAAAGTTATCTATAAATCTATTATATGATCCATGTAGTCCACTCTTAGGTATTCACTCAAGAGAAATAAAGGTATATTAAATTTAAAGACTGTCATGTGAATGTTCATAGCAGCTTTATTCATAGCAGCCCCAAACTGGGAACAATCCACATTTCATCAATTAAATGGCAAACAGAATGTGGCATATTCATAAAATTGTGTTTTACTCAACAATTAAAAAATAACTGATACATGCAACAAGGATGAATCTCAAGGAGGAAAATGAGGGTGAGATTACAAAGGAATACTAAGATACTTTTCTATGTGATAAATGTATTCTCTTGATTGTCATGGTAGTTTTACAGGCGCATACATGTATCAGAACTTATCAGATTGTATATTCTAAATGTATATGGCTTATTGTATATAAATTATTACTTCCTAAAGCTGTTTTTACAAGGGCATTTCAGTGTTTTTCATTTTGTGTTTTGATTACCATATATAATTTTGTGTTCATTATGAAGAATGATTATATCCAGAATAATCAGAGCAGGAGAAAGGATACACATTAAACTTGAGTATCAATCCTGGACAAAGGGAAAAAAAGTCTTCAAGACTTCAGCGAAGCACAACTTGCAACAATATTCCTGTGCAATGAATGGCTGAAAAACTGTCAGATAAACTGGTCTGGCACACACAACTGAGGAATGATCCAGTAACTCTTGAGCAAAAGGTGTGTTAATTCTATTGAATCTTAACATGCAAAGACAAAAGTGAGATTTTCCCTGCCAATAGATTTGTTGCATCAAATAAATAGTATCCTTGTATTCAGTACTGAAAGGACAATTCCCCTTATTACATGTCTTATCCATCAGTCAAGATTCATTTAGAGTCTCGTAATCCTTCAAAAAGCATTCTGATAACTCAGTCATTAACTTCTGATCTTTTTTTTCTTATATATGTATATCTCTACTCTTAGCTTCTTGCTAAGTATCTTTTGCTGAATTTAGGTCAGTCACACAAAGTTTAGCATTTGATTCACCTATAGTTCTTTCATTGAGATCCTTTACTTTTGCTTCCTGACATTGTAAATTTTGAAGCTTTATTGCCTTGTAGTGTAGCCACTAATCAGATGCGGTTGCTTAGCCCTTGAAATGTGGCAAGGGACACATAATTGGATAATAATATATATTTTGGGTTAAATATAATATACTATCATGATTAGTTTCATTTCTTTCTTATTACTTTTTAAATGTGGCTACTATGCAAATTTTAAATTACATATGTGACTTGCATTATATTTGTATTGGAAAATGTTGATCAGGAGAGCAGAGAACTAGTCTTTTATCTCATGATGCTTGACATAGTTTTGGCCATGCATTGGGCACTCAGTAAAGCAAGTGGATTACATTATTGATAATTAGAAGTTAATAATAATTATTATAAATTATTAAACATTTAATATTTACCAACCAGTGTGTTAAATGTTCTATATAAACTTATTGTTGTCCTATAAAGCAGGTATTATTTTTCTAATTTTACTTACAAAAAAGTGAAATTCAGACAAAATAAATTACTTGGCCAAGGCCACACATCAGAACTATTTGAACCAGACCAACAACTCTGCCCTTAACAACTAACCTGTACTACCCTCTCAGTGGACTTGTTCTTCTTTGCAGCCACGTCTATATTGAAAATAGTGACTATCAATTTTTGACCATCATGGAGTACCACATGAAAATTCTTAAAGTACACAAAATCTGGACTATAAGCTACTTCTGAAGACTTTTTAAAACATTCTTTAATAATGCCATGTTACTGAGGTATTATAATATCATTGCTTTGTTACCCTTGCTTTATTGAACAGAGGAGGTTAATGGCATTAAGTTAAAATTGGAACACCAAATTTGTGTAAAATATAATTTGATTGCACATTAGACCTAAAGCCAAAGCTCCTCCCTGCCTCTAATTTTTTTACCCGAATCTCCTCTTCTCATTTTCATTAAGGAAATGTTTGCTTTTTATTTGCCTGTTCTCATATTTTCACTGATTTTTTTTCCTTACTGTTTTAATTGGTTTAATGATAACTTCCTTTCATTTTCTTGATTTGGGTTCCTCTTGGCACACAATACTTGGATGAAAATGGCACTTTTGTCAAATTATTGCCCCTTTTCAGTATTGTAGCAGAAGAAATTCTATACAAATTAATTAATCATTGCAAGTTACTGCTAGCCCACAAATTCTAATGCAATGAGAAATTAAAACAAGAGTAAAAAATTCTTGTGGCGGATTACAGACAGTATACAGAGGTGCTAGAGAACTGTCCTTAGAAGTACAATAAAACACATAATTTTGATCTCCGATAATTAAATTAACTCAATTTGTAATGGGAGTATAAGAGAACAACCAGTTACCAAGAGCCAAATCACTGATATCAACACTTTTCTTTTTTTTTTTTTTTGAGACGGAGTCTTGCTCTGTCGCCCAGGCTGGAGCGCAGTGGCGCGATCTCCGCTCACTGCAAGCTCCACCTCCCAGGTTCCCACTATTCTCCTGCCTCAGCCTCCCGAATAGCTGGGACTACAGGCGCCGGCCATCATGCCCGGCTAATTTTTTTTGTATTTTTTTAGTAGAGACGGGGTTTCACCGTGTTAGCCCAAGGGATAAGCAACATAGAGAAATATGTGAGTCAGAGAAGTCCTATTTAGGTAATGTGAATTCAGCACTGTCCAGAAGAGAGAGAGAATAAAACTGCAGAAGAGAAACAATTTATTAACCAAAAAGGGGTTATTGTTTGTGGACAGAAATATTTAACCGTACCTGACAAAATACTGTCGTACAAATTCTTCATATTTGAAACAGAGATTTTACTTGTTGGAAATTATTCTAAGTAAATCAAAATACAAATTGTAAGGGAATAATGTACAAGGTTGCTTACAGCAGTTTTCTTTGCAGTGTCAAAATTTCTTTCTTTATATAGACTGATATGTAGATCAATAGATACCTATATAAAGACATAGATACTGATATATATATCAGATAAATTTTACTTGGAGTCTTATATGATTTGGTACTCCATTTCAGTTATTCATGATTATCTGCTTCCTGCTCATAATTTAAAGAAATGAAAATAATAAACCATTGTTCTGCCTGCCATTATAACCAAGATAATATATTGTTGAAGCAATATATTACAGAGATAAAATCAATCTTCTATACCTTATGGGTCTTAGAATTGATTTTAGTTCAATAAATTTTTGAAATTTAAGTCTTTTTACCTTTTCAGATTTAAGAATGAGTAGATCATAAGTACCTTAAAGGTCATGTCAACTCAATATGTGTCTCAAAAATTTGTGAAAAAATAAAAAAAAGATACAATTCAGAATTCTTCCTGATATAAATTACATTTTTCAGAAATTGTTTTTTGAAATAGCTCTAATCTGGATCAAATTTGTGGTTTTCTACATATCAGAGGAAAGGGTCAAGTTTCTATTTTATATTAATTTTAAATAAAAATTAAGTGTAATTACCATTTCATTTAGATGTGTTGCCATTAAATTACTTGTAATTAGTTTGCTAGCTTTCAAGTTTTTATTTTTCAGTTTATATGACAGAATTTAGCTATTACATTCTTACTACATAGTCATACATCTGTACAATTTTGGTGAAAAAAATTCACTTTCTAAAGACTCTTTCTTATTTTTTAAATATTTTAACATTTTTGTTTTTCCTGTGCTAACATATCTTTTATTTTTGCAAAGAATACATTGTTGTTTGTTGTACTTATCTTTTATCCAGGTATTAACTAAGTCTTTAGATCTGATAGCTAATGCAGTAGCTTCTTGTGATATGAAGAAATGTGTGCATAGAAAGCAGTTTTATTTGGTTAAAGCATTGTTAGCATTTCGTCTCATGAGATAAATTAAATAATTTCATGCCCAACAGCTTCAAATATATTTAAACTTCTGTAAACCTAAGATTGCCAAAATCTAACATATGTTATGTGGTATTTAATCCTCCAGGGGAACCAAAGAAACAAAACATGTCTTTTGCAGCAATTAATAAGCTGCAAAAGAGACAACTAGAATCTTTTCTATCAAAATGAGCCACATCCTTCTGCAGGCCACATCCAACATATACTACTTAAAAAATTTTATTAGGCAGGAATTGTAATTAAAGTTGAGTTTTCTATTCATTCATAATTCTTTTAAAGATATGCATTTCTTCTGGATTATATTAAGAGTTAAAATGATGAAACATTTTCTTGCAATTAACATGATCTATATAGAACGCTTTAATTTGTATTTAAAGTAAAGTAGTAACACATTTTTAAATTTAGTTGCAAAAAAAGAAATCCCAGCAGGATGAGTAAAACCAGTCACATTTGTTAAACATAAATAAAGCAAATTTTATTGGCTTTGATTTGCATTTTCTTGAGACATCACTTCACATCTGTTAGAATGACTCATCAAAAAAACAATGAAGTTGTGGAGAAACTAGAACTTTTATACACTGTTGATGGGAATGAAAAATGGTACAGTAGCTATAAAAAACAGAATGAGAGTTCCTCAAAAAGCAAAAATAGAATTACTGTTATGATCCAGCAATTCCACTTCTGGCTGTGTATCCAAAGAATTAAACTCAGGATAGAGGAGATATATTTGTACTCCCGTGTTCATTGCAGCATTATTCACAATAGCCAAGATATAAAAGCTATCTCAATGTCCGATGACAGACAAATGGATAAAGAAAATGTGATCTATACATCTGCTTATATATCTATGTATCCATCTATCTATCTATCTATCTATCTATCTATCTATCTATCTATCATCTATTTGAATATACACAATGGAATATTATTCAACATTAAAAAGGAAAGAAATCCTGCCATTTGTGACAACACAAATAAATCTGGAGGACATTATGCCAAGTGAAATAAGTCAGTCAAAGAAGGACAAATACTGCACTATTTCACTTATATGAGAGATCTAAAATAGACTCATAGAAACAAGGAGTATAATGGTGGTTGCCAGAGGCATAACAGGGAGAAATGGGGAATTGCTGTTCAAGGGACATAATGTTTCAGTTACACAAGATGAACAGGTGCTCGATTTTTTCTGTACAACATTGTGCCTGTAGTTAACAATAGTGTGTTGTGCACTTAAAATGTTTTAAGAGAGTAGATCTCATGTTAAATAAGAATTTGATGGGCAAAAAATTTTTAAATATGTGCATACACTCACAGATTAGTAGGAAAGAGACAAACAACTTCATCAAAATGTCCTGAGGCTGAAACTTGCATGAAATTTTGGAGTAACAACTAGGAGGTCAGTGTGGTTGCATACAGTATGCAGTGACTCACAGTAGAAGATGAGGTTAGTGAGAGTATCTGCAGGTCCCTGTAAAGCTTTCACTTTATGCTATATAGAATGGGAAAATTTTAGAAGGTTTTCAGCAAAGAACTGACATGACTTCTCTCATCTTTTTTTATTTAAGATTACATTCCTTGTTATGTGAAATATAAGCTGTAGGGATCAAGGGTGGAAGGAAGTAGACTATTCAAGATGGTATTAGCTAGCTTGGACAATGAATATGGCAGAAAAAGTAGTGAAAAGTAAGTGGGTTCTCGATATCTTTTGAGGGTATAGTCAACAGAATTTGCTGATGGATTAACCATAATGTGCGATATAAATTAAGGGTGATTGCAAGATATTTGGCCTGAGCAACTAGAAAGATAGACTTGCCTTATAGTGAGAGGGGACAAACTGCAGATGTGTCAGTTTAAGGGAAAGATCATAAACATGGCTTAGTCAGAATACTTTGACAATGATTATTAGACATCCAAGTAAAGACACTGAGCAGGTAGTTGTACAGGTGAGGTCAGGAATAGAGATATAAATTTGAGATTTACAAGGGTCCATTTTGCCTTACTCTAAAGGAATACTTGAGACTGGGTAACTTACAAAGAAAAAAAGTTTATTTGGCTAATGGTTCTGCAGGCTGTAAAAGAAGCATGGCAACATCAACTGCTTCTGGTAAGGATCTCAGAAAGTTTCCAGTTATGGCAGAAGGAGAAGAAGGAGCAGGTGTGTCACATGGCAAGGTAAGGAGAAAGAGAGGAGGGAGGTTCAAGACTCTTTTAAACAACCAGATCTCAAGGGAATTAAAAAGGAGAATTAACTCATTACCATGAGGGCAGCACCAAGCCATTCATGGGGGACTTTCCTCTATGACCCAAACACTTCCCACGAGGCCCCACTTCCAACACTGGAGATCACATTTCAACATGAGATTTGTAGGGCACAAATATACAAACTATATCAAAGGGTAAAAGTAAGTTTCCCAAGCCATAAGATTAAATGAAATTCTCAAGGAAGTGAACTCGAAAAATAAATGTTGTCCAAAGACCAAATATTAAGCACTTCAATATGTGAGGCTGGAAAAATAAAAATGAGCAGGAAGCATGTTCACTTGATCCACATTTTAAAATTAAACTTACAATATAATAACAAAAGTAGAATTGATATTCCCCAGAATATCAGAAAAAAGACTACTTTTATTCACTTTTTGTGAAAATATATGTATTAAATATATTTCTTAATATTTTATTTTTGTGAAAATATATGTATTAGATATGTATATATTTACTTCTAGAAATCTATTCTAGTGGACTACTGCATATCCTTGTGCATAAGTGTGTGTACATATATATATATACACACACGCAGACATACACACACATATGTGTATATATAGATTTTTATATGTTCGTAGCAGCATCTGTTGCTGTGTAAATATTTGATCAACATTTAGCAACTTAAAGCAACACATTTTTTAAAAAATCTCTGTTGTTGTGGGTTAGGAATTCAGAAGCTAGTTCGATGGATTATTCTGGTTTGGGATTTTTCGTGAGGTTGTAGTCAAAACATAGTCCAGGGCTCCTTACAGATCCACTTCCAAGATGGGTTACTCACATGGCTATTTCACAGAAGGTCTCAGTTCCTTGCTGGCTATTAACAAGAGCACTGCAATAGTTCTTTCTCACATTGCTTTAAAGAACTCCCTGAGACTGGGTCACTTATTTATAAAAGAGATTTAATTGACTCACAGTTCTGCAGACTGTACACTAAGCATGGCTGAGAGGCCTCAGGAAACTTGCAATTGTAGCGAAAAGTTAAGGAGAAGCAGGCACATCTTACCATGGCAGAGCTGGAAAGAGAAAAAGTGGGAAGGTGTAAGTGCTACACACTTTCAAACAACCAGATCTCGTGAGAACTTACTCACTATCATGAGAACAGCATGGAGGAAGTCCACCCCCATAATTCAATCATCTCCCACCAACTCCTCCCTTCCACACGTGAAGATTACAATTGGACATGTGATTTGGGTGGGGACACAGAGCCAAACCATATCAAGGACTAATTTTCTCACAAAATTGACCTCTTCATAGATTTCCTTAAGTATCCTTAGAACATGGCATCTGACTTCTCCTCAGAAAGAGTGGTATAAGAGAAAGAGGAAAAAATCCCAATGCCTTTTATGGTATAGCTTAGGAAATCACACATTATCACTTTGTCACATTCTATTTTTTGGAAGAGAGTCACTAAGTACAGCTCATACTCAAAGGTAAAAATATTTGATTCCTTTCTTTTGAAGGGAGTAGTATCAAATAATTTATAGACATATTTTAAAACCTCAACAATGTGGATTGGTTAAACCTTTTCAGAAATAAATCTAGTAATGACATGAAAATTTAAGATGTGAATTCTGTTTTAATAATTTTACTTCTAGAAATCTATTCTAGTTCACTACTGCATATGCTTGTGCATCAGTGTGTGTACATATATATATACACACACACACACATACACATATGTGTATATATAGAGATAGATTTTTATATGTTCGTAGCAGCATTAGTAGTAGTAAAAATTACATACAGCTTTAGTGTCCAGCATTAAAAGAGCAGTTAAATTCATTATAGTGCAGCTATACAATGGGGTAATATGTAGCAGCTAAAAGAATGAGGTAGATCTCTATGTACTGAAATGAAAAGAGACACGAGAAGATGTCATTATAGATTTTTATGAGAAATACAGTTGCAGAAAATTTTCTGTAGTATTTTTGTAAAAAAGTAAATGACAAAATCTATAAGTGTAAATGATGTATAAAACAAAAATGATGAATAGGATATAATCATAAAGTAATTTAATTTTATAACCCTTGCCCCTTTGCATTTTATTCACTTGGACATAAAATTCAAGCCAGCAACATGACTTTTCTGGTAATTTATGAGTTATACAAGGATTTTTGGCCAAAATTAAAATATCCAGTCTCATACAAGAGTAAAAAAGTGGGCATGTTGAAAGCAAGACACACTCAAGTGTGTGGCAGAGATGCATGATGGCTATTTCCATCTTTTCCGACATGGTATTTATAATCCTTCTCTCCTAGTTGTTATTCTCATTTAATTTGCCCTCCAAGGCTAGAGAATGAGGAAACTAAAGATACAATGAAAGTAGCAAATTTCTCATCTGACTGAAAATGTCATAATCTGTCTTCATGTTTTCTCAGGGTTTGGCAGTCCTTTCATGCATGCTGACTTTCTGTGGACTTTCAGTTCTTCAAAAACACTCACCATCACTGGGGATCTCTCATCTGCAATTCCCTTGACAGGAGTAAATCCTGTCCTATTCTGGCTAGTTGCCTGCCACTTGCTCCATAGCCCCAAGGCATCTGGCAGTACCATTTCCAGTCTTCTTCACAGAGATCCCCTTGCCCTTTCAGTTATTCTCTTAGACATTACAACTAAGACACACCCATACTAGCTCATGTTTGGCCCACATGCAGTTTATGGGAAACAATCATACATTCTTGCCCTTGAGAGATTCTTGTAGGGTAGTTGTTTTACAACAGTCCTTGGTAGTGTTAATTCTCTAGCACTTCCAATCCTCCCTGAGAGTGGACTGAGCATGAAAGTTTAATGAAGTCAGAATACATAGGCACTTGAGGAAGCTGTCTGTGTGCATAGGGCCTATGTGCAACAGGGAGAAGTGAACTCAGATAAGCTGAGGACATACAGGACATAGAATCAACAGGTTCTTCTCTACGTCCCAGAACTTCCCCAAAAACCTGGTTAATTTTCATCTTCTTTGTGCCCATTCTCAGTAAATGGAAAAAGAACTAACATCCATGCATTTGATTAAGCCTCAAATCTGGGAGTCATGTATTATTCCTCGTTTTCCCTCTAACCCTATAGGGAAGCAATAACCAAGTATTACCAGTTCTACCTCCTAAGTATTCTGAATCCACTAATATCTTTCCAACTATGCTAGTCTACCCTAGTCTAGGCCATCAACTCTTACTGAGATTATTGCAGTCTAACTGGAATACTTATCTCTAGTATTGCCTCCTTCTGATTTGTGTTCCACATTGTAGCTCTAGAAATCTTCCTGAAATGTAAATATGATTATGTCAGTCCTCTACCTTATATTCATTCATAATTTTCCATTACGTGGGTATATATGATTGGGTACTTATTTATTCCTTCTGCCTCATATCTTACCACTTTCCAACTTTAATATTACGTCTACTGATACTAAACTATGTTTAATTCCCTACATATGCTGTATACTTTTTCTTCCATCTTGGCCCTTGTAAATGCTAGCTCTGCTGCCTAAAATGTGTTTCTCCATACATTCCATCTTTACCCAGCTAACTCCCAGTCATCTTTCAGATATAAGATAAATAGCCTGACTGTATATTTCAATTTTCCTATAATAATTATTATTTTGTCCTGTTGTCTTCTGTGCAATTATTAATGATACAGCATTCACGTTCAAGTGTGACCTAGTTTAGGGTAATAATTTTCTATAATTTTCTTTAAGATAGAAATTTCTTCCTTCAGGAAACCTTCCCCGACTTCCCCAAGTCTATGTCGAAACCCCTTTTATGTAAAACAATGGAAACTCATACTTTCCTTTGTTTATTACTTATCTGTCTTACCTTTTAGAACTGTGAGTTCCTTCAGTGTAGAAATGAAATTTGTTTGGCTCACTTCAGCACCGATTCTTGTGTCTTGCCCATAAGTGATCAAATATATTTGTTCAACACATGCAAATGCAAAACTCTCTTTGTTAATTGATGAGATTTCTAAGCATCACATAATCTGAACATCAGTAATCACCAACAGGCAAAAGTAATTGACATATCATTATTAGTAGTCAGTAAGTAATCATCTCTAAGGGGGTATTGACTGTGAAGTGGAACAGGGAGCTTTGGAAGTTCTGGAGATATTCTGTATTTTTAACAGGGTTTCATTGATGTATATATCTGTACAATTTAATCACCCTATACACTTAAGATTAAGATATTTAATTCTATCTACATTATATTTCAATAACAAATAAAACACCAGCACATACACACAAACACACATAGTTTGTGACTATATGCATTAGAATCAGATATCAGCCATTTACTAGCTGTATGATGCTGGACAATTTATTCAACCCATTTGAGCTTCAGTTCTATCCTTTACAAATTGATAATAATAATAATAGTACCTATTTATAGGCTTTAAGGAATAAGCAGTGTCACATATGAAATGCATAATACTATGTTGGCCAGGTGTGGTGGCTCACGCTTGTAATCTCAGCACTTTGGGAGGCCAAGGCAGGTGGATTACCTGAGGTCAGGAGTTCGAGGCAAGTCTAGCCAAAATGGCGAAATCCCATCTCTACTAAAAATACAAAAATTAGCCAAGCGTGGTGGTGGGCACTTGTAATCTCAGCTACTCAGGAGGTTGAGGCAGGAGAATCGCTTGAACCTGGGAGGCAGAGGTTGCAGTGAGCTGAGATCGTGCCACTGCACTCCAGCCTGGGTGACAAGAGTGAAACTCCATCTCAAAAAATAAAATAAAATAAAATAAATAAATACTATGTGGCCCAGTAAGTGTACTCTACCCTTTGTATTATTTTACTTTTTAGTCTGAAATTCCAATCAATGGAGGATTCTAGTGTCCATGTACATTTTTAAATGAAGTTTGAATTCACATGCCTATGAGTACATTCTATGAGTACATTTTCTTTGGAGTTTTTAGGGCATCTGAAGAAATACTAACATTTGAAGTAATCTATTCTCTTTAAAAGTTCTGATTTTCTAAACACTAATAAAGCATGTATGGATTAAATGCAAAGAGAAAATGGTTTGTGTTCCCCTTTCATCTTAGCTAACACTCTTTTATATTCTTATAGTCCATTGAATACAGTCATATTGTATTAGTTTCATGCTGCTGCTGCAACAAATTACCATAAACTGAGTGGTGTAAAGCAGCATATTTATCTTACAGTTCTGGAAATGTTAAATTTTAAAAATCAAGGTGTTGACAAGGCTGAGTTCCTTCTGAAGGATCTAGAGGATAATCCATTTCCTTGCTTTTTCCAGCTTCTAGAGGTCACTTGCCTTCCTTGACTCATGCATGGCCTCCCTCCTCCACTTTCAAAGCTAACATTGCAACATCTTCAAATCTCTTTCTCTGTGATCTCTGCTTTCATCATCAAATCACCTTACTTCTCTCTACTTGCATAATCACATCTCCTTCTCTGATTCACCTGCCTCTGTCTCTTCAGAAAATTTTTGGTTATGCTGGTCCCACCTGGATAATCCAAGTTCATCTTTCCTTCTCAAGATACTTACCTGAATCACACCCTCAAAGTCCCCTTTTCATGTAAAGTCTTTCAAAGGGTTTTGAGACTAGGATGTTGATATCTTTGGGGTGGCATTATTCAGTCTATTGCATGTATACAGCTGTAGCCAGTTACTGTCTTGCTATTATCAGAAGCTATATTCCCAGTTTCTCAGTTGCAAAACAGCGAGTAAATTAGAGACCATTGTCCACATTCTGAGCTTGCAAAAAAAAAAATCCTTTTTATAAGAATCACTGAGATAATACCTTGCCAAATTCAGAGGATTTTTTTTTTCATGTCTTCTCACACATTTAGAGATCCTGAGCTACACAGGTAAGATTATGCTAGACTGTAGGATATGTACGTAGCCATCTACCTGAAACAAAGTTACCTTTTTAAATAGTTACTAAACTTCGTGCCCTAAAACAAAGGGCTAATAAGAAATTTTGAAGTTCTATCATAGACTAGTGTTTATAACCTGAAATCCTTATCAAACACTAAGAAAAACGTTAAAGAAAATTAAGTTTTAGAAACAAGCCTATTTGATATTTATGGCAAAAAAGGCAGTTTTCAGAAGACAAGGCATACTTGTTTTTTGTTTCCAGAGAGCCCAATAAAATTGTGACAGGGCTGTGAGTACACATTTACAAGATAAGTCATCAAGTCTCAAAGCAAAAGTAACTATTTCACCAGGAATTGTATGAGAAGAATCAATGTGGTGCAGTGAAAAGGGAAATGTCTTTGAAGGCAGAAAACTAGTTTCTGTTCTCTGCTGGTGACTTTAGTCATGTGACCACAGGAAATCACTTAATTTCTCTGACCTCAATTTTCTATACAATAAGGGAGTTGCACTAGGTATGTGTTATTCAAATATTGCTACCATAGTACATAGATCAGTAGATGTAGGGTATGATCTAAAATAACCTTAACCCCTAAAGGGCTGTCTCTTTGCCCTTGCAATGGGTCTCACAGTTTTTCTTTTTTCTTTTTCTTTTTCTTTCTTTTTTTTTTTTTTTTTTTTTTGAGAAGGAGTCTCGCTCTGCCGCCCAGGCTGGAGTGCAGTGGCGCGATCTTGGCTCACGGCAAGCTCCACCTCTCAGGTTCATTCTCCTGCCTCAGCCTCCCGAGTAGCTGGGACTACAGGTGCCCGCCACACAATTTTTTTTAACATTCAGGAATGACACTTAGCTAGTGGGTCTTTCAATAGCTGTGTAAGGCTGTCCCTCCATGATTCTATATTGCAATCCAATCATCTTCTGGTCATATTGGCAACACTTTTCAACATCATTCTCAAACTTCTATTTCCCAAATACCCATTAAGCCCATAAAATTACAGAAATCCGCCTAAAGAAATGTGTGTAGAGCCTGAGTACCTGTACTTCATGCATAGACTACGGCATAAGAGGAGGACAAATAAAAATACAGTTTCAAAATACTAAAGGCTGAGTGAAATTGGCACCAACTGATATACCATGCTTATCCTATCACTTTATATATCCCTTGGTTATAATGGGATAATCCTGTCAGAGACACAAGTACTTATTTTAAAAAAACACTTGATTAGATTATCTTTAATGCTTTTAATTCCAAAATTCTGTGAGTCTCTGAGTTTATAAGTCTTAGATTACAAAAACCACACAGTTGTTAAAATGTAACTTATTTATTATCATCATCGTAATTGAATTCTCCTATTTAAAATTCCCTATTTAAAATCTACTATTTTATGTTCCGTCAGTGTGTAATCACAGTACAGATCAAGAGGTAAGGGTTTTTGAAACTATACAAAACATAGATATATCAGTTATCCAAGGAATCAAGGAGCCTAGGTGGGGAGAGCTTGTGATTATTGAAACTTGTAGAATTCTATAGTCCTGACAGATTTTTACCCATTGCACACTAACCTTATCTTAATTCATCTAAAACATATAAGAATGAAGCAAAACATAAAAATAAATATTGCAAATACAGCATGGATTTAGGAAAAGTTACTTTTAATCAATTGGAAAAAAATCACTCTACAACTTTAAATATCATTAAAGGGGAATTCAAAGTACTTCTATGACCAATGGATGAGAGGAAATAAAGGTAGTGGCTGGCTCAGTGTAATTCCATTATGGGGAAGATAATAGTCAGCAAACTTGCCTGATCTTGTTTTCTTTTGGCTGTGCTTATATTGCAGAAGATATCTCAAAAACTTATGTGAGGAAACTTATAGACCTACTATCCTTGACTGACAGTGTAGCCCAAATTGCCATGGCTTTTTAAGAACCAAAGAAGAGAAGCATGAAATTTTGAGAGGAAAAAAAGATATTCAGCAGCATGTTTTGTTTTTTCTATAAAACATAAAATGCTTAGTCTTTGAGTCCACAGCTTCACTCAGAATTCTTGGCTTTCAAAATCTAGAACAGTTGAGTGGTAAGTTGTGCCCAGAATACTCGTCTTAAAATTTAATACATTGCAGAGAAAGCAATAATTATTTTGCTCAATTACTTTAATCTTCAGTAAGCCACAAGAGGAATTTACCTAACAACTACTTTTTGTGGAATAACCCTTATAGAACATGAAATAGTCTTTTAAGACTTTCAAGAAACTAAAAGGAGTAAAAGTATTTTGAGGTCTCCATCTACTCTTTTTTCTACTTCACCTACTTCATCTATTTTTATGTCACAGGGAACAAAACTACTGTGCCTCAATGCCTAAAGTTTATAATATCCAGCACAAAATCAGCATTTTGTGAAAGATACTTATATTTCATTTTTATGCAACCCATAAACTATGTTCATTTTTCTAACACAACGTTTTCTGATTGTGACAGAACAGATATTTTTGGCCTATATCTTAGGACTAGCTTCTATTTGGGGGGATCTTTTTGTAAACAAGGAAAAGGTTTCTTATTGGACATAACTTTTTTGTTAATAACTCACAGCTTATCGAAAATGTTTCTGTGAATGCTACATACCGGCAAACTCTTGTGACATACTTGACAGAATAAATACCACTGAGACCTAATGTTTCTGAGGTATTAGGCTGATACTGAGAGGGACATAAAATAAATAATAATAATTAAACTAATATGTATTGGGTATTTTAATATTTATCAAGAACTACCTTAAATGCTTTAAATGTATTATGCCATTTAAGATTCACAGCACCCTATGTGGAGGGTTTAAATATTATTCTCACTTTACAGATGATAAATTAAGCTACAGAATAAAATTAACTGACTTGCTCAAGGTTACTGAGAAAGTAAATCATGAATTCAGATTTCAGTCACAGATAATCTGATGCTAGAGTCCATTAATTTCTTTGTTTTACTATTTCCCACTAACCAAAAAGAACTTCTGATGTTAGTAAACTTAAAAATATAGTAGGAATGCTGATGAATGACTATATAATTACTATATAAAGTTGAGCCTTGTTCATTCAACAAATATGAATCAAATGACTTCTATGTAAACATCATTGTCATTAGAGATAGGACAATGACAGAAAAAAACTACTCTAGTAATCTAGGTTAAAGATGATAATAGCTTGGACAAAAGTGGTATCACAAAGGTGTTGAGAAGTGGTCAGATTTTGTATATATTTTGAAGGTAGACCCCAGAAAATTAATAAATGGATTGGATATGGGTGTAAAGAAAAAAGAGATTGGTTCTTTTAAAATTATTGAAGCAAAATCTAGTTCTTTGTAAAAATCAGTAAAATAATAAACCTATAGATACCTTAATTAAAATAAAAATAAGAATGAAATAAATTACTAACATTAGAAATAACAAAGAGGACATCATCACAAATAATATATATGAAATATAATAGGATATTATTATGTACAATTGTATGCAAATAGATTCAATAATTAGATAAAATGGATAAGTTCCTTGAAAAATAAATATATTAAACTGTTGCGAGGAAAGACAGAAAAACTGATTAGTCATATATCAATTAAATGAATTTAACACATAATTGAAACATATAATTGAAAACTTCTCAGAAAGAAAATTCCAGGCCTGCAGATGGTTTCATTGGTAAGTATCAAATAAACATTTAAGAAAGAGAGAAGACTAATCATATATAAATTATTTAAGAAAATAGAATAGGAAGCAATTTTTAATAACATTTGTTTTTCTTAGGGACACTTTTGAGGGGACTTTCCTCAAAGACAAAAGTTATTCACTTTAACAAAAGTTAATATGTTAGTTTTGTACACCACATATGCCCATCATTTCATCCCAGGAAGAGCAGACCACAGAGTTTTCCCCTCTCAGCGTTCAGAGTATTTTGTGCATTGCTTATTATTATTATATTCCCTTTCTCCAAGACAAGCAGAAACCTCAGGGCCTGAGTCCAGAGCACACTGTAGAATATTGTTCTCCTTGACAGGACACAGAGGTGGAACAGAGTTGGCCTGAAGGTGGCTGATTGTGGAACCAAGGGCTGGAGAAACAGTATTCAGTGGAGAGAAAAGAAAATAAAGCTGTGTAAAAAAGTACTGAGGCAGAGGCAGGTGGATCACTTGAGACCAGGAGTTCGAGACCAGGAGTTCAAGACCAGCCTGGCCAACATGGCAAAACCCCCTCTCTACTAAAAATACAAAAATTAGCCAGGCATGGTGGCACGTGGCAGTAGTCCGAGCTACTTGGGAGGTTGAGACAAGAGAATCACCTGAACGTGGGAGGCAGATGTTGCAGTGAGCTGAGGCCACACCACTGCACATCAGCCTGGGTGACAGAGCAAGACTCTGTTTCCAAAAAAAAAAAGTATATATGTATGTGTACATATATATATACATATATATATATATATATATATAACAAAAGTATATATATAGTATGTATTTATATACACACATACATGTATATACATACACACAAAAGTATATATGTGTACATATATACACACACATATATATGTGTGTGTATGTGTGTGTGTGTATATATATGTGTGTGTGTATATATATATATATATATAGCAATTAGGCAGATAAAGAAAAATAAATGAGAAACACTAAAAGCAAACCAGAACAAAAGAGGTAAAAAGCAAGCTTGAAAGTTAGGGCATGGGAAATTTCTAAAGCAGAAACTTAGATGTTTTTATGTGCAGGAGGAGATAAGAGATACTCGAGTCCATGAACTGTCTCACAGAACTGTGACTTAAAATATAGAATTATAGTGTCATAGGTACATGTTGTTTTCCCTCCTGTACTGAGGTACTTGAGAACAGGAACCTTATCATAGTTCTTCTGCATGTACCCTGGACTGAGTTCTGTGCTTGGCAAATGGTAAGTCCTCAGTTTAATGGATACAGGCCTGCATAAGTGAATGAATGTTGGCAAAGTATGACCAGTTGCTTTACGCCATGTCTATCTTTTACTGAATTTACAAAAGTTCAGCAATTTAATAATGATTTATTTTTAAACTTCTTAAAGAAAGGATTCCAGTCAGTAAGGAAAGAATCATTTGCCAAAAATCATTCAAATGAATTTAAATATTTGTTTTGATATGTAATTCTGCTTCCTTGTTCTACTAAATGTTCATCTTTTCTTCCAATCAAACCATATATATTTAACTTCCAGTTATTTCATTTATTTGTTTCACATTCTATGCAGTACAGTAACTAGTTCAGTCACTGATGATATTTTTGTTTTCTCGTTGATACTACTAATTATGCTTCCCGTGGAAAGAACTGGCAGAAGGAAAACTATAATAATATTCCTTCCAATAGACAAGACAATTCAGCCCCCCTTTACTATTTTTACTAGAAAAAAATAAATCACTCAAAATTATTTAGCAGTTGACTGCACAAACAGCTGTGTAAAATAACTCTCAGATTGGGGATTCTTTCATTTTATTTATATCATTAAAAAACAAACCATTTATCAAGTAAAAGTACCATTCTTCTTGCACCTAATAACCCACAGAAGAAACAAACAGATATAAGTGGCCATCGGTCTTTCAAATTTGAGAGTTTAGTTGTATAATAGTCTTAAAGTAGAATACTATTATCCCATCAAACAAAACTCTTTTCATTTCTGATATCAACACCCAATCATTTATTAACTTATTACATATTTTGTGCAATACATTACATCTGATTTATTACTAATATGCACTATGAATACTAATATCAACTATGAACATCTTGCACATGTGATATTGCTGATATTTTGATGGTCAGCATACTATGGACATTATCTAAATGGCTATTTATACTGTGAAAGGAAAGAAGGTTTGGAATGAAAAACCTTTCACTTCACTGTTAAGCAAGTAAAAATGTACTAGGATGTTGAGTAGAAGTGATTTCAACCAATTTTTCATGTGGGACTGTTTCTTAGTCTGTTTTGTGCTACCATAGCAGAAAACCACAGGCTGGATAATTCATACTGAACAGAAATATATTAGCTCAGGATTCTGGAGACTGGAAGTTTGAGATCAAATGGTTGGCATCTTCTGAGGGCTTTCTTGCTGCATCATCCCATGATGTAAGGGAAAAGAGAAGGGGAGAGGGAACAAAAGGAGGCCTAACTTGTCCTTTTATAAGGAACCTACATGTGCATTAATGAACCCATTCCCACCATAACAGCATTAATCTATTAATCTACTAATTTTCATTCACTTCTAAAAGGCCCCACCTGTTAATTCTGTTACAGTGGTGATTACGTTTCCAACACATGTGTTTTGGGACACACATTCAAACTGTAGCAGAAGGTGAAAATATGTATTGTGTAACATGACTATACTTGTTTATGTATTCTTATTTTATTTTATTTTTAACTTTATTTTACATTCAAGGTACATGTGCAGGTTTGGTATATAGGTAAAATGTGTGTCCTGGGTGTTTGATGTACAGATTATTTTGTCACCCAAGAAACATGCATAGAAACTGAGAGGTAGTTTTTGGATCCTTACCCTTCTCCAACCCTCCACCCTCAACGTGGACCCAGTGTCCATTGTTTTATTCTTTCTGTCTATACGTACTCAATGTTTAGCTTCCACTTATAAGCGAGAACATGCAGTATTTGGTTTTCTGTTTCTGTTAGTTTGCTAAGGATAATGACCTCCAGCTCCATCCAAGGTGCTGCAATGGATATGATCTCATTCATTTTACAGCTGCATAGTATTCCATGGCATATATTTACAACATTTTCTTTATCCAGTCTACTACAGATGGGCATTTATGTTGATTTTATATCTTTACTATTGTGAATAGGGCTGTGATGAACATATGCATGCATGTGTCTGTATGGTAGATCAATTTATATTCCTTTGGTCATATACTCAATAATGGGATTACTGGGTACAATGGTAATTCTATTCGAAGTTCTTTGAGAAATTGCCAAACAGCTTTCCACAATGATTGAACTAATTTACATTCCCGTCAGCAGTGTATAAGTGTACGCTTTTCTCCACAACCACAATGGCATCTGTTATTTTTTGACTTTTTAATAACAGCCTTTCTCATTCAGACTGGTGTGAGATCGTATCTCATTGTGGTTTTATTTGCATTTCTCTAAAGATTAGTGATGTTGAGTATTTTTTTTAATATGCTTGCTGGCCACATATATGTCTTCTTTTGAAAAGCGTCTGTTCATGTCTTTTGCCCACCTTTTAATGGGGTTATTTGCTTTCTGCTTACTGAGTTGTTTAAGTTCCTTAAAGATTCTGGATATGAGACTATTGTCAGATACATAGTTTGCAAATACTTTCTCTCATTCTGTAGGTTGTCTGTTTACTGTTAACAGTTTCTTTTGCTGTGGAGAAGCTCTTCAGTTTAATTAACTCCAACTTGTCAAATTAAGCCCATGAGCATTTTTGTTAAAATTGCTTTTGAGGTCTAGTCATAAAATTATTTCTGAAAAGAATGGCGTTTCCTGTTTTCTTCTAAGATTCTTTCTTATAATTTGAGGCCTTACATCTAAATATTTAATTTATCTTTGTTAATTTTTTATGGTGTAAGGAGGGGATCCAGTTTCAATCTTCTGCATGTCTAGCCAGTTATCACAGCACCATTCATTGAATAGGGAATCCTTTTCCCATCTCTTGTTTTTGTCAGGTTTGTGAAAGATCAGATAGTTGTAGGTGTGCGGTCTCACTTCTGGGTTCTCTATTCTGTTCCATTACTCTATGTGTCTGTTTTTGTAACAGTACCGTACTGTTTTCATCAATGTAGCCTTGTAGTATAGTTTGAAATTAGATAATGTGATCCCACCAGCTTTGTTCTTTTTACTTAGGATTGTGTTGGCTGTTTAAGCTCCTTTTTGGTTCCATATGAATTTTAAAATAAATTTTTCCAATCCAATGAAGAATGCCATTGGTAGTTTGCTAGGAGTAGCATCGAATCTATAAATTTCTTTGTTCAATGCAGCCATTCTAAAATATTGATTTTTCTTATCCATGATCATAAAATATTTTTCCATTTGATTGTGTAATCTCTGATTTCTTTGTGACATGTTTTGTAACTCTCATTCTAGAGAACTTTCACCTCCCTGATTAGCTATATTCCTAAATATTTTATTCTATTTATGCCTATTGAGAATGGGATTGCATTCTTTTCTTATTATTATTATACTTTAAGTTCTAGGGTACATGTGCACAACATGCAGGTTTGTTACATATGTATACATGTGCCATGTTGGTGTGCTACACCCATTAACTCATCATTTACATTAGGTATATCTCCTAATGCTATCCCTCCCCCCCTCCTCCCACCCTATGACAGGCCCTGGTGTGTGATGTTCCCCTTCCTGTGTCCAAGTGTTCTCATTGTTCAATTCCCACCTATGAGTGAGAACATGCGGTGTTCGGTTTTTTGTCCTTGCGATAGTTTGCTGAGAATGATGCTCTCCAGCTTCATCCATGTCCCTACAAAGGACATGAACTCATCCTTTTTTTATGGCTGCATAGTATTCCATGGTGTATATGTGCCACATTTTCTTAATCCAGTCTATCATTGATGGACATTTGGGTTGGTTCCAAGTCTTTGCTATTGTGAATAGTGCCACAATAAACATACATGTGCATGTGTCTTTATAGCAGCATGGTTTATAATCCTTTGGGTATATACCCAGTAATGGGATGGCTGCATCAAATGGTATTTCTAGTTCTAGATCCTTGAGGATTTGGCTCTCAGATTGGTTGCTGTTGGTGTATAGAAATGCTACTGATTTTTTTACACTGATTTTGTGTCACAAAACTTTCCTGAAGTTGTTTATCAGATCAAGGAGCTTTTGAACAAAGACTATGAGGTTTCCTAAGTATAGAATCATACTGTCTACAAATAGGGACAGCTTAATGTTCTCTCTTTCTATTTGGATGCCTTTTATTTCTTGCCGGATTGCTCTGGCCTGGACTTCCAATATCATACTGAATAGTAATGAGAGAAGGCATCTTGTCTTGTTCTGCTTTTCAAGGAGAATGCTACCAAATTTTGCCCATTCAGTGTGATGTTGGCTGTGGGTTGCTCATAGATTGTTGTTATTATTTTAAAGTATGTTCCTTCAATGTCTAGTTTGTTGAGGATTTTTAACATGAGGGGATTCTGATTTTCACTGGAAGCCTTCCTGTGTCTATTGATCTGATCGTGTGGTTTTTGTTTTCAGTTCTATTTATGTGGTAAATAACACATTGTTTTGCATATGTTAAAGCAACCTTGCATCTCAGAGATAAAGCCTACTTGATTGTGATGTATTAGGTTTTTGATGTGCTGCTGGATTCAGTTTGATAATATTTTGCTGAGGAATTTTGGATCTACAATCATCAAGGATATTGACCTGAAGTTTTCTTTTTCGTTGTCCATGCCAGGTTTTGGTACCAGGTTGATGCTATCCTCATAAAAAAAGTTAGTGAGGAGTCCATCCTCCTCAATTGTTTGGAATATTTTCAGTAGGAATGGTACTAGTTCTTTTTTATCCATCTGGTAGAATTTGGGTGTGAATATATCTGGTTCTGGGCTTTTTTTGACTGGCAGGCTTTTTATTATTGACTCACCTTTTGAGCTCATTATTGGTTTGTTCATGGATTCAATTTCTTCCTGGTTCAGTCTTGGAAGATTTTATGTGTCTAATAATTTATCCATTTCTTCTAGGTTTTCAAGCTTCTGTGCTTAGAGTTGTTCATAATAATCTCTGACGGTTATTTACATTTCTGTGGGGTCACTGGTAATAATCAATTTGTCATTTTATTGTTTATTTGCACTTTCTCTTTTTTTTTAAATTCTAAGTTCTGGGGTACATGTGCAAGATGTGCAGGTTTGTTACATAGGTAAACATGTGCCATGGTGGTTTGCTGCACCTATCAACTCATCACCTGAGTATTAAGACCAACATGCATTAGCTATTTTTCCTGGTGCTCTCCCTCTGCTCCCCCAACTCCAGACAGGCCCCAGTGTGTGTAGTTCTCCTCCCTGTGTCCATGTGTTCTCATTTTTCAACTCCCACTTATACATGAGAACATGCGGTGTTTGGTTTTCTGTACCTGTGTTAGTCTGCTGAGGATAATGGCTTCCCACTCTATCTATGTATCTGCAAAGAACATGATATCATTCCTCTTTATGGTTGCATAGTATTCCATGATGTATATGTACCACATTTTCTTTATTCAGTCTATCATTGATACGCGTTTGGTCTGATTCCATCTCTTTGCAATTGTGTATAGTGCTGCAATGAACATACATGTGCATGTATCTTTTTAATAGAATGATTTATATTCCTTTGGGTATATACCCAGTAATGAGACTGCTGGATCAAATGGTATTTCTGGTTCTCTATCTTTGAAGAATTGCCATACCATTCTTCACAATGGTTGAACTAATTTACATTTCCACCAACAATGTAAAAGCATTTCTATTTCTCCACAACCTCGCCAGCATCTGCTGTTTCTTGACATTTTAATATTTGCCATTCTGATTGGCATGAGATGGTATCTTATTGTGGTTTTGATTTGCATTTCTCTAATTATCAGTGATGTTGAGCTGTTTTTCATATGTTTGTTGGCCACACAAATGTCTTCTTCTGAGAAGTGCCTGTTCATGTCCTTTGCCCACTTTTTATTGGGGTTGTTTGTTGTTTGGTTGTTTTATTGTAAATTTGTTTAAGTTTCTTGTAGATTCTGGATATTAGACCTTTGTCAGATGGATATATTGCAAAAATTTTCTCCCATTCTGTAGGTTGCCTGTTTGCTCTGATGACAGTTTATTTTGCTGTGCAAAAGCTCTTTAGTTTGATTAGATTTTATTTGTCAATTTTTGCTTCTGTTGCAAGTGCTTTTGGCAATTCTGTCATGAAATCTCTGCCCATGCCTATGTCCTAAATGGTATTGCCTAGGGACTCAAATGAACCCCTAGCATACCACAGCATCCCTACAGAAAAGTGGCCACACTATTTTAAGGGAAAAAAAAAAGCTTCAAATGTTTGTAATCTCAAATATGGAAGGTCAATAAGCCCACAAAGATGAGAAAGATTCAATGCAAGAACACTGAACACTCAAAAAGCCAGAGTTCCCTTTTTTTCCTCCAAATGACCATATCACTATTCCAGCAAGGGTTCAGAAATGGGCTGAGGCTGAGATGGCTAAAATGACAGAAGTGGAATTCAGAATATGGATAGGACTGAAGTTCACTGGGCTAAAAGAGTGCATTGTAACCCAATGCAAGAAAGGTACAAATTATGATAAAACATTACAGCAGCTTACAGACAAAATAGCCAGTATAAAGAAGCATGTAACCATCCTGATAGAGCTGGCCTACACTGCAATAATTTCATAATGCAATCACAAGTGTTAGTAGCAGAATAGACCAGGTGGAGGAAAGAATTTCAGAGCTTGAAGACTGCCTTTCTGAAATAAAACAGACAGAAAAGGATAGAGAAAAAAAATAAAAGGAATTAACAAAACCTCCAAGAAATATGGGATTATATAAAAGACCAAATCTATGACTGATTAGTTTATATGAAAGTAATGAAGAGAACAGAACCAATTTTGAAAATATTTCAGGATATCATCCATGAGAACTTTCCCAAACTAGCTATACAGGCCAACATTCTAATTCAGGAAATGCAGAGAATCCCAGTAAGATACTCCAGGAGAAGATCATCCCTAAGACCTATAGTCATCAGAATCTCCAAGGTGAAAATGAAAAAAAGAAAAAAAGTTAAAGGCAGCTATAGAGAAAAGCCAGGTCACCTACCAAGGAAAGCCCATTAGACTAACAGTGGACCCCTCATCTTAAACCCTGCAAGCCAGGAAGGATTTGGGGCCAATATTCAACATTCTTAAAGAAAAGAAAGCCTAACCCAGAATTTTATATCTGGTCAAACTAAGCTTCATAAGTGAAAGTAATAAGATCATTTTCAGACATGCAAATGCGGAGGGAATTTTTTACCACCAGACCTGTCTTACAAGAACTCCTAAAGGAAGCACTAAATATGGAAAGAAAAGGCCATTACTAGCCACTACAAAAACACACTGAAGAACAGACTAGTAACTCTATAAAGGAATTACATAAACCAGTCTGCAAAATAGCAAAATAACCAGCTAACATCATGATGGCAGAATCAAATCTACACATATTACTACTAATCTTAATGTAAATGAACTAAATGTCTGAATTAAAAGACACAGAGTGGCAAGCTGGAAAGAGAATCAAGACCCATGCTGTCTTCAAGAGACCCATCTTGCATGCAATGACATGAATAGGCTTAAAACAAAGGCATGGAGATAAATCTACTAAGCAAATTGAAAACAGATAAAACAAAGGTTGCAATGCCAGTTTCCGACAAAACAGACTTAGACACAACAAAGATCTTAAAAGACACAGAAGGGAATTACATAATGGTAAATGGTTCAATTCAACAAGAAGATTTACATATTCTAAATATGTATGTGCCCAACACAGGAGCAACCAGTTTCATAAAGCAAGTTCTTAGAGACCTTCAAAGAGACTTAGACTCCCATACAGCAATAGTGGGAGACTATAACACTCTATTGACGATATTAGAAAGTTCATCAAGACAGAAAATTAACTAAGGTATTCAGGACCTGAACTCAGTACTGGATAAAATGGACCTGATAGAAACGCACAGAACTCTCCACCCCAAAACAACAGAATATAAATTGTTCTCATTGTCACATGGCACTTACTCTAAAACTGAACACATAATCGGAAGTAAGACATTCTCAGCAAATGCAAAAGAAGTGAAATAATAACAAACAGTCTCTTGGACCATAGCATGATCAAATTTGAAATCAAGACTAAGAAATTCGCTCGAAATCATACAATTACATATAAATTAAACAACCTGCTCCTGAATGACTTTTGGGTAAATAATAAAATTAAGGGAGAAAACAACAGGTTTTTTGGAACTAATGAGAATAAAGATATAACAGAATCTATGGGACACAGCTAAGGCATTGTTAAAACAGAAATTATAGCACCAAATGCTCACAACAGAAAGCTAGAAATATCTCAAGTTAAAAACTTAACATCACAACTTAAAGAACTAGAGAACCAATAGTGAACAAATCCCATAGCTAGCAGAAGACAAGAAATAATCAAAAACAGACCTTAGGCTGGGCGCAGTGGCTCACGCCTGTAATCCCAGCACTTTGGGAGGCCGAGGTGGGTGGATCATGAGGTCAGGAGGTCGAGACCATTCTGGCTAACATGGTGAAACCCCGTCTCTACTAAAAATACAAAAAATTAGCCAGGCATGGTGGCAGGCACCTGTAGTCCCAGCTACTTGGGAGGCAGAGACAGGAGAATGGTGTGAACCCGGGAGGCGGAGCTTGCAGTGAGCCGCAGCTTGCAGTGAGCTGGAGCTTGCAGTGAGTTGAGATGGCACCACTGCACTCCAGCCTGGGCAACAGAGCGAGACTCTGTCTCAAAAAAAAAAAAAAAAAGACCTTAACAAAAGGAGATAGAGACACAAAAAAATTACAAATCCAGGAGCTAGCTTTTTTTGAAAAAATTAACAAAGTAGATAGACCACTAGCTAGACTAGTAAAGAAAAAATAAAGAGAATATTCAAATAAAAGCACAATCAGAAATGACAAGGGGTATATTGCCACTGACCCCATAGAAATACAAGCAATCATTTGAGAATATTGTGAACACCTCTATCCACATAAACTAGAAAATCTAGAAGTAATGTTTAAATTTCTGGACACATACACCCTCCCAAGAATAAACCAGGAAAATATTGACTCTCTGAAGAGACCAATAAAGAGTTCTGAAATTGAGGCCATACTAATTACCCTAACAACCAAAACAACAACAACAACAACAACAACAACACAGGACCAGAGGGATTCACAGCTGAATTCTACTATATGTACAAAGAAGAGCTGGTACCATTCCTATGGAAAGTATTAAAAAATTGAAGAGCAAGAACTTCTTCCTAACTCATTCTATGAAGCAAGCGTCATTCTCATACAAAAAACTGGTAGAGATACAACAAGAAAAGAAAACTTCAGGCCAATATATTTGATGAAAATTTATGCAAAAATCCTCAACAAAATACTGGCAAAATGAATCCAGCAACACATCAAAAAGCTTATCCATCACAATCAAGTAGGCTTCATTCCCAGGATGCAAGGTTGGTTCAGCATACACAAATCAATAAATGTGATTCATCACATAAACAGAACTAAAGACAAAATTCACACGATTATCTCAATAGATGCAAAAAAGACTTTCAATAAAATTCAAAATCCACTAAGGTTAAAAACTCTCAATAAACTAGGTACTGAAGAAACATAACTCAAAATAATGAGAGCCATCTATGACAAACCAACACGACGCATAATACTGAATGGAAAAAAGATGGAAGCATTTTCCTTGTGAACTGGCACAAGTCAAGGATGCCCTCTCTCACCACTCTTATTCAACATAGTATTAGAAGTTCTGGCCAGGGCAATCAGGCAAGAGAAAGAAATAAAGGACGTCCAAATAGGACTAGAGGAATTCAAACTATCCCTTTTTGCAGATGACATGATCCTATATCTAGAAAACCCCATAGTCTCAGCCCAAAAGCTTCTTAAGCCAAGAAAGAACTTCAGCAAATTCTCAGGATCAAAAATAAGTGTGCAAAAATCACTGGTATTCGTATATACCAACAACAGTTAAGCTGAGAGCCAAGCCAAGAAGGAGCTCCCATTCATAGCTGCCACAAAAATAAAATATCTAAGAATACAGTTAACTAGAAAAGTGAGGTGAACAATTTCTTTAAGGAGAACTACAAACCACTGCCAAAAGAAATCAGAGATGACACAGACAAATGAAAAACATTCCATGGTCATGGAAAGGAAGAATCAATATCCTTTAAATGGCTAAAATGCCCAAAGAAATTTATAGATTCAATGCTATCCCTATTAAACTATCATTAACATTCTTCACAGAACTTGAGAAAACTATTTTAAAATTCACATGGAACCAAAAAGAGCCCAAATAGTCAAGGAATTTTTAAGCAAAAAGAACAAAGCTGGAGGCATCATGCTACCCAACTTCAAACGATACTACAAGGATACAGTAACCAAAGCAGCATGGTACTGGTACAAAAACAGACACAAAGACCAATGGAAGAAATAGAGAATTTGCAGAAATAAGACCACACACCTACAACCATCCAATCTTTGACAAACCTGACAAGACCAAGCAATGGGGAAAGGATTCCCTATTCAACAAATGGTGCTGAGAGAACTGGCTAACCATATGCAGAAAATTGAAACTGGACCCCCTTTTTACACCATATACAAAAAAAATTAACTCAAGATAGATTAAAGACTTAAATGCTAAACCGAAATCTATAAAAACCCTAGAAGACAACCTAGGCAATAACATTTAGGACATAAGCATAGGCAAAGATTTCATGATGAAGACACTAAAAGCAATTGCAACAAAAAGAAAAATTGACAAATGAAATCTAACTAAACTAAAGAGCTTGTGCGTAACAAAAGAAACTATTAACAGATTTAACAGGCAACCTATAAAATGGGAGAAAATTTTTGCAAACTTCATCCAACAAAAATCTAATGTTCAACATCTATAAGGAGCTAAAATAAATTTACATGAACAATAAAAAACAAATTACCCCATTAAAAATGGGTAAAGGACATAAACAGGCACTTTTCAAAGGAAGACATAACTGCAGTCAACAATCATATGAAATAAAGCTCAACATTACTGATCATTACAGAAATGCACTGCAAAACCACAATGATATATCATCTAACACAAGTCAGAATGGCTACTATTAAAAAGACAAAAAATAACAGATACTTGTGGGGTTGTTCAGAAAAAAGAACAGTTATACACTGTTGTGGGAGTGTAAACTTGTTCAGCCCTTGTGGAAGACAAGTGTGGCGATTCCCTAAAGACTGAAAGACAGAAACATTATTCTACTCAGCAAAACAACCACTGCATATATACCCAAAGGAATATTAATTATTCTATTATAAAGACACATGCACATTCATTACAGCACTAGTCACAATACTAAAGATATAGAATTAACCTAAATGCCCATCAATGGCAGACTGGATAAAGAAAATATGGTACTTATACATCATGGAATACTATGCAGTCATAAAAAAGAAAGAGATCATGACCTTTGAAGGGACATAAATGGAGCTGGAGGTCATTATCCTTAGCAAACTAACACAGGACCAGAAAACCAAATACTACATGTTCTTACTTATAAGTGGGAGCTAAAAAGTGAGGACACATGGACATATGAAGGGAATAATACACACTAGGGCCTTTTGGAGTGTGGAGGATGGGAGGAGGGAGAGGATCAGGAAAAATGACTAATGGGTACTAGGCTTAATACCTGAGTGATGAAATAATCTGTACAACATACCCCCATGACAGAAGTGTACGTATGTAACAAACCTGCACTTGTACCCCTGAACTTAAAATAAAAGTTGTAAAAAAAATTGTAATAATAGCAACATTAAAAAAAACCATACAATGGAGATCCAGTATGTTAGGAAGCAAACTTTTCAGTGCAAATTGTGCAAGCTAGGAAAGAGGCATGACATGCTTAAAGTGATGAAACAGCAACAACAAAAATCTACCCTAGAATAATATATCCAGCAAAAATATGATTTAACCATGAAGGAGAAATAAAAACTTTCCAGAAACCAAAAGTTGAGGGATTTCATCAACACCAGATCTGTCCTACAAGAAATGCTAAAGGGAGTTCTTCAAACAGAAAGAAAAAAAACATTCATGAGCTAGAAAAACAAATCCTCTGAAGGTAGAAAACTCACTGGTAATATTAAGCACACAGAAAAGCAAAAAATATTATGACACTGTAATTGTGGTACCTAAAGTACTCTTATCTTCCATAGAAAGACTAAAAGATAAGCCAACAAACAATAAACAATAACAATAACTAACACAACTTTGCAAGACATAAACAGTACAGTAATATATCAATAAAAACAACAGTAAGTTAAACAGCATGGGGACAAAGTTCATGTATAGACTTTTTATTTGTTTTCTTTTTGCTTGTTTGTGCAATGAGAGTTAACTTGTTATCAAATTAAAATAACGGGATATAAAATAGTATTTGTAGGCCTTATGGCAACCTTAAATCAAAATACATAAAAGAAATAACTAAAATTAAAAAAGAAAAAACATGAGGTAAATCACCACTAGAGGAAATCACCTTTAATAAAAGGAAGACAGAAAGGAAGAAAAGAAGGAAAAGCATACAACAGACAACCAGGAACAAATAACAAAATGGCAGGAGTAAGTCCTTACTTACCAACAATAAGACTGAAAGTAAATGGGATCAGCTCTCCAATCAAAAGACAGAGTAGCTCAATGTACGAAAAAAAAAAAAAGACCCAATGATCTGTTGCCTACAGGAAACACACTTCACCTGTAAAGACACACATAGACTGAAAATTAAAAGATGAAAAAAGATATTTCATGCCATTGAAAACCAAAAAACAATCAAGACTAGCTATACTTAGACAAAGTAGATATCAAAACAAAAACTGTAAGAGGAGACAAACAATGGCACTATATAATGATAAAGGGGTTAATATAGCAGGAATATATAATGATTGTAAATATATATGCACTTAATGCTGGAGCAGTCAGATGTATAAAGCAAATATTATTAGAGCTAAAGAGAAAGATAATAGACTTAACTATGATAATAGCTAGAGGCTTCAACACCCGACTTTCAGCACTGGACATATCATCCAGACAGAATATCAATAAAGAAACATGAGACTTATCTGCACTACAGATCGAATGGACCTAAGAAACATTTGCTGAACATTTCATCCAATGGCTGTGGAATACACATTCTTTTTCTTATGTACACGGAACATTCTCAAAGGTAGACCATATGTTAGGCCAAGAAACAAGTCTTTAAAACACTCAAAAAGTTGAAATAATATCAAGCATCTTCTCTGACAACATGGTAACAAAACTAGAAACCAATAACAAGATAAATTATGGAAACTATACAAACACATGGGGTTTGAAACAATATGCTCCTGAAAGGCCAGTGCGTCAGTGAAGAAACTAAGAAGAAAATTTTTAAAATTCTGGAAATCAAATGTTGATAAAATACGACATACTACAACCTATGGGATACAGGAAAACTAGTACTAACAGAGAAGTTATGACTATAAGTGTTTACATTTAAAAAGAGAAAATCTTCAAATAAATAACCAAATGAGGCATCTTAATTAACTAGAAAAGGAAGAACAAACCAAACTCAAAATTAGTGGAAGAAAAGAAATAATAAAGATCATAGCAGAAATAAAAGAAATTTAAATGAAGAACAAACTAAAAAAAAAGATAAATAATCTGAATAGCTGGTTTCTAAAAATAAGCAAAATTTAAAATTTTTAGCCTGACTAATAATAAACAAAAGAGAAGACCCAAATAAATAAAATCAGAGATGAAAGTGGAGACGTCGCAAATGATATCACAGAAATACAAAGGATCATTAGTGGCTACTATAAGCAACCATAGGCCAATAGTTTGGAAAATCTAGAAGAAATACATATATTTCTAGACACATGAAACATACTAAGATTAAACCATGAAGAAATCCAAAACCTGAACAGGATAGTAACAAATAAATTAATCAAAGCTCTAATAAAAAGTCTCCCAGCAAAGAAAATTCTGGGACCCAGTGGTTTCATTACTGATTTCTCCCAAACAGTTAAAGAAAAACTGACTCCAGTCTTACTCTAAGTATTTTTAAAAATATAGGCAGAGTGAATACTCCTAACGCATTCTATGAAGTCAGTAATACCATGATACCAAAACCTGACAAAGACACTTAAAAAAATAACTACAGGCCAATATATCGATAAATACTGATGCAAAATTTCTCAAAAAACACTAGCAAAGTAAATTCATCAACATATTAAAAAGATCTTTTATTATGACCAAGTAGGATTTATCTCAAAGAACCAAGGATGGTTCAACACAGGCAAATCAATCTGTGTGAATCATCATCTTGACAGAATGGAGAACAAAATTCATAGGAATATTTTAATTGTTTCTGAAAAATTACTAAATTATATTCCACAATTCTTTATTAAAAAACTGGAAATAGAAGAAACATAGTTCAACATAATACAAGCCATATGTGAGAGACCCACTGCTAGTATCATATTGAAAAGGGAAAATCTGAAAGCCTTTACTTTAAGATTAGGAACATGACAAAGATGTCTACTCTTACCTCAGTTATTCAACATAGTACTGGAAGTCTTGACTAAAACAAACAGACAAGAGAAATAAATAAGGGCATCCAAATTAGAAAGACAGAAGTCAAATTATCCTTGTTCGCATAAGATACAATCTTATATTTGGAAAAATCTAAAGATTCCACCCCCAAATTTAGAACTGATTAAAAAACTCAGTAAAGTTGCAGAACACAGAATAAACATACAAAAACCAGTAGCATTTCTGTATGCCAAGAGTGAACAATCTGAAAAATAAATCAAAAAGAGTAGTTTCATTTTCAATAGCTGCAAATAAAATTAAACACATAGGAATTAACTTAATCAAGGAAAGGAAAGTTCTCTACAATGAAAACTATAAAACACTCAGGAAAGACCTTCAATTGGACACACAAAAATATGGAAAGACATTTTCTGTTTATGGATTGGAACAATCAATATTGTTAAAACATACATACTACACAAAGCAATCTGCAGATTCAATGCAATTGTTGTCAAAATAACAATCGTATTCTTCATAGAAATAGAAAAGAAAAATCCTGATAATTATATGGAACCACAAAAGACCCAGAAAAGCAAAAGATACTCTGAGCAAAAAGAATAAAACTGGAGGAATTACATAATCTGACTTCAAATTATACTATAGAGCTATAGAAAATTAAACAGCATGGTACTGGCATAAAAACAGAAACATAGACCAGTGGAACTGAATAGAGACCCCAGAAACAAATCCATACATTTACAGTGAACTCATTTTCAACAAAGGTGTCATGAAAATACATTGGGAAGACAGTCTCTTCAATAAATAATAATCCTACTGAGCTATCAAACTCTAGATCTTATTCCTTCCATAAAACTCTGCGTTTGTACTCACTAGCCAATCTCTCTTCACCAAACCCTCACACCCTTTCCAGCCTCTGGTTACTATTATTATGCTCACTACCTTCATGAGAGCAATATTTCAGCTATCACATATATGAGCGAGAACATGAAATATTTGTCTTTCTGTGCTTTGTTAATTTCATTTAACATAATTACCTCCAGTTTCATCCATGTTGCTGTAAATGACAGAATTTCCTTTGATTTATGGCTGAATATTATTGCATTGTATATATATGCTGCATTTTCTTCATGCTTCCATCTATTGATGGACAATTAGGTTGAATATCTTGACTATTGTGAATCGCGATGTAATAACCATGGGGATGGTTTGATGTGCTGATTCCCTTCCCTTAGAGATAAATACCCAGTAGTTGAATTACTGCATCACATTGTAATTCTGTTTTTAGTTTTTTGAGAAACCCCCATACTGTTTTCCATAATGGCTAATATAATTTGCAATAGTGTGTATGAGTTACCTTTGTGTACAGCATGATGTTTTTATATACATATATATAGCGATATATAGTGAAGGGATTACTGCAGATAAGCAATTTAACATATCCATCCTCTCACATTCTTACCCTCTTTGAGGTAAGAGCACATAAAATCTACTGTCTGAGAAAATATTCAGTATACAATACAGTATTTTTAACTATAGTCCTCAGACTGTATTTTAGACGTCTAGGTTTATTCATCCTATATAACTTCAATTTTGTACCCTTCAGCCTACATTCCCCCTTGCCCTCTCTCAATCTTCACCTCTGGTAACCATGCTTCTATTTTCCATTTCTATGTATGCGATTTTTCTTTTTTAAATATTCTACATATAAGAGAGATTATGATGCAATTTTTTCTTTCTGTGTCTTATTTTATCTAGCATAATGCCCTTCAAGTTAATTCATGTTGTTGCAAATGGGGAATTTTCTTTTCAAAAGCTGAATAATATTACATTGTACATACACCACAATTTCTTTATTCAAAAGTCCATTGATGGACATTTAGATACTTATCTATTCATTACTTTATTTACTTTATCTATTCATAAACCAAGAGAAGAGGCCTCAGAATTCAACCTGCCTTACTGACACCTTGATCTTGGACTTCCTAGCATTCAAAATTGTGAGAAATAAATGTCTGCTGTTTAAGCTAGCCAAACTATGATATTTTGCTATAAAGATCCAAGCTGACCAATATTTGTGTTCAGTTTTAGTAGATACTACTATGGTTTTTGAAGTGTGCATACCAATTTATAGTTTTTATTAGCAATGTATGGGTGTCCTAGTTACACATTCTTGCGATAGCATGGTATTTTCATTTGTTTTAATTTTAGATATCCTGGTACATATGGAATGGTGTCTCTTTCTTGTTGTAACAGCATTCTGTGATTACCAATTAGATGAAAACTTATTTATTTATTTATTTAATTTTTAAACTTTTAATTTAGGTTCAGGGGTACATGTACATTTTTGTTATATATGTAAACTCATGTCTCAAGGGTTCAATGAGTAGATTATTTTGTCACCCATGTACTAAGCCTAGTACCCAATAGTATTTTTTTTCTGCTCCTCTCCCTCCTCCCACCTTCCCCCCACTGGTAGGCTCCAGTGTCTCTTGTTCCCCTCTTTGTGCCCATGTGTTCTCATCACTTAGCTCCAACTTATAAGTGAGAACACATGGTATTTATTTTTCTGTTTCTGCATTAGTTTAGTTTGTTAAAGATAATGGCCTCCAGCTTCACCCATGTTTCTGCAAAGGACATTATCCAATTCCTTTTTACAACTGCATAGTACTCCATAGTGTATATGTACCATATTTTCTTTATCCAGTCTACCACTGATGGGTATTTCAGTTGACTTCATGTCTTTACTATTGTGAATAGTGCTATAATGAACATACACATGCATGCGCCTTATTGATAGAATAATTTATATTCCTTTGGGTATATGCCCATTAATAGGATTGCTGGGTCGAATGGTAGTTCTGCTTTTAGCTCTGTGAGGAATTACCACACTGCTTTCCAGAATGGTTGAATGAATATAAACTCTTGCCAATAGTGTATAAGCATTCCCTTTTCTCTGAAACCTTACAAACATCTACATTTTATTTTTTTGGATTTTTTAGTAATAGTCACTCTGACTGGTGTGAGATAATATCTCATTGTGGTTTTCATGAGTATTTCTCTAATGATCAGTGATATTGCACAATTTTTCGTGTGCTTGTTGAATGCCTGTATGTCTGCTTTTTAAAAGTGTCTGTTAATGTCATTTGCCCTCTTTTTAATGGAGTTGTTTGTTTTTATCTTGTAAATTTGTTTAAGTTCCTTACAGATGCTGGATATTAGATCTTTGTCAGATGTATAGTTTATAAATATTTTTCCCATTGTGTAGGTTGTCTTTTCTCTCTGTTGATAGTTTCTTTTGCTGTTCAGAAGCACTTTAGTTTAATCAAATTTCATTTGTCAATTATTAATTTTGCTGCAATTGCTTTTGGTGTCTTTGTCATGAAATCGTTGCCTGTTTCTATATTCAGAATGTTATTGCCTAGGTTTTTCTTCCAGCTTTTTATAGTTTTTCACTTTACATTTAAGTCTTTAGGCCATCTGGAATTGATTTTGATATATGGTGTAAGAAAGGGGTTCTGTTTCAATCTTCTGCATATGGTTAGCCAGTTATTCTAGCAGCATTTAATAACTAGGGAGTCCTTTCCTCATTGCTTTTTTTTTTGTCAGATTTGTCTAAACTCAGATGGTTGTAGGTGTGTGGCCTTATTTCTAGGCTCTTTATTTTGTTCCATTGGTCTATGTGTCTGTTTTTGTACCAGTACCATGTTGTTTTTGTTACTGTAACAGTATAATTTGAACTCAGACAGCATGGTCCTTCCTGCCTTGCTTTTTTTTGCTTAGAATTGCCTTGCCCATTTCTGATAATTTTTGGTTGTATGTAAATTTTAAAATAGTTATTTTTCTAGTTATATACAGAATTTCCTTGGTCATTTAATAAGAATTGCATTGAATCTGTAAATTGCTTTGAGCAGTATAGCCATTGTAATGATATTGATTGTTCCCATTCATAAGCATGGAATGTTTTTCCATTTGTATTATCTCTGATTTCTTTTAGCAATGTTTTAAAATTCTCATTGTAGAGATCTTTCAACTCCTCAGTTAGCTCTATTCCTACATATTTTATTCTTTTCGTAGCAATTATGAATGCTATTGCATTCCCGATTTAGCTCTCAGCTTGGCTGTGGTTGGTGTATAGGAATTCTACTGATATTTGTATATTGATTTTGTATCCTGAAACTTGGCTGAAGCTGTTTATCAGCTTAAAGAACTCTTGAGCCAAGACTATGGGGTTTTCTAGATATAGAACCTTGTCATCTGCAAACAGGGATAGTTTGACTTCCTCTCTTTCTATCTGGATGCCTTTTATTTCATTCTCTTGTCTGATTGCTCTGGCCAGGACATCCAATACTATGTTGAATAGGAGTAATGAAAGAAGGCATCCTTCTCTTGTGCTGGTTATCAAGGAAAATGCTTCCAGCTTTTGCCCATTCAGTATGATATTGGCTGTGGGTTTGTCATAGATGGTTCTTATTCTTTTTATGTATGTTCCTTTGGCAACTAGTTTGTTGAGAGATTTTAACGTAAAAAGATGTTGAATTTTATCAAAAGCCATTTCTGCTTCAATTGAGATGATCATGTGGTTTTTGTCTTCAGTTCTGTTTGTGTGATGGATCTTGATTATTTATTTGTGTATGTTGAACTAACTTTGCACCCCAAGGATAAAGCCTACATTATTACTGTGGTAGGTAAGCTTTTTGTTGTGCTGCTGGATTCAGTTTTCCAGTATTTTATTAAGGATTTTTGCATCGATGTTCCTCAAAGATATTGGCCTGAACTTTTCTTGTTGTTGTTATCTATCTGCCAGGTTTTGGTATCAGGATGGTGCTGGCCTCATAGAAAGAGTTGAGAAGTCCCTGTTCCTCAATTTTTAAGAATATTTTCAGTAGGAATGGTACCAGCTCTTCTTTGTACACCTGGTAGACTCCAGCTGTGAATATAACTATTCCTGGGATTTTTTGTTTGTTTTGGTTGGTAAGCTATTTATTACTGATTCAATTTCAGAGCTCACTATTGGTCTGTTCAGGGATTTAAGTTCTTCCTGATTCAGTATTAGGATTGTGTATGTGTCCAGGAGTTCATCAACTTCTTCTAGATTTTCTAGTTTATGTGCATAGATTTTTTTAAAAATAGTCTCTGATGGTTATTTGTATTTTGTGGAGTCAATGGAAATATCCACTTTGTCATTTTTGATTGTGTTTATTTGGATTTTTTCTCTTTTTTTAAATATTAGTCCAGCTAGTGGTCTATCTCATTAATTCATTCAAAAAGTCAGTGGCTGGCTTCTTTGATCTTTTGAATTTTTTTTATGTCTTAATCTCCTTCAGTTTAGCTCTGATGTTAATTGTTTTTTGTTTTTTGCTACTTTTGGAATTGGTTTGCTCTTGCTTCTTTAGTTATTTTAGTTATGATGTTAGGTTATTAATTTGAGATCTTTTCAACTTTTTGATGTGGGATTTTAGTGCTACAAATTTTCCCATTAACACTGCCTTAGCTGTGTCCCAGAGGTACTGGTATGTTGTATCTTTGTTCTCATTAGTTTAAAAAAAACTTACTGATTTCTGCCTTAGTACTTTTATTCACTCAAAAGTCATTTGGGAGCAGGTTGTTTAATTTTTGTGTAATGTAATTGTTGTTTTGGGGCAATTTTCTTTGTCTTGTATGTTATTTTTTTGTTTGTTGTGGTCTGAGAGAGTGGTTGTTATGATTTCAGTTCTTTTACATTTGCTGAGGATTGTTTTATGTCCAATTGGGTAGTTGATTTTAGAGTATGTTCCATATGCAAATGAGAAGTATGTATATTCTATTGTTTTTGTGTAAAGAATTCTTTAGATGTGTATTAGATCCATTTGGTCCAGTGTTGAACTCAGGTCCTGAATATCTTTGCTAACTTTCTGCCTTGATGATCTTTCTAATATAGTCAGTTTAGTCTTGAATTCTCTCACTATTATTATGTGGCAGTTTAAGTCTCTGTGAAGGTCTCTAAGAAATTGCTTTATGAATCTGGGTGCTCTTGTGTTAGGCGCATATATATTTAGGAAAGTTAGGTCTTCTTGTTTAATTAAACCCATTACCATTACTTATTATCCTTTCTTGCATTTTTGATGGTTGTTAGTTTAAAGTCTATTTTGTCTAAAATTAAAATTCCAAACCCTGCTTTTTTTCTGTTTTTCATTTGCTTGGTAGATTTATGTACATTCTTTTATTTTGAACCTATGTGTGTCATTGCATGTAAAAGAGGCCTCTTGAAGGCTGCATATCATTGGGTCTTAGTTTTATATTTAGCTTGCCACTCTGAGCCTTTTAATGAGGACATTTAGCCCATTTACATTCAAGGTTAGTATTGATATGTGTGGACTTGATCTTGTGATCATGATGTTGCATGTATGTTTATTATGCCCAATTTTTTGCATAGTTGCTTTATAGTGTCATTGGTCTGTGCACTTAAGTGTGTGTGGGTTTTTTTTTGGCAGCTAGAAACGGTATTTTCTTACCATATTTAAAGCTTCTCTCAAGAGCTCTTGTGAGATAGGTCTGGTAGTAACTAATTTTCTCAGCCTTTACTTGTCTGAAAAGATCTTATTTCTCCTTTGCTTGTGAAGCATAGTTTGATCAGACATAAAATTTTTTATTAGAATTTTCTTTTCTTCAAGAATGTTGAATATATGTCCCATTTCTCTTGCAGCTTGTATGGTTTCTCTGAGAGGTCTGCCGTTATTCTGATGGGCTTCACTTGTAGGTGACCTGTTCTTTTTCTCTAGCAGTATTTAACATTTTTTCTTTCATTTCAACCTTGGATAATCTCATGATTATGTCTCTTCGGGATGATCTTCATGTGAACTATCTTGCAGATGTTATCTGCTTTTTCTGAATTTCAATGTTGGCCCCTATAGCTAGATTGGGGAAAATCTCATGGCTGGTGTCCTGGAGTATGTTTTCTAAGTTGTTCTTATTTTCCACAACCCTTTCATGGATGCCAATGAGTCATAGACCTAGTCTCTTTACATAATTCCATATTTCTTGGAGGTTTTGTTTTTCTTTTTCTTTCATTTTTCTTTATTCTTGTCTGATTTCCTTATATGAGAAAAATAGTTTCCAAGCTCTAAGGTTCTTTCTTCAGCCTTGTCTATTCTGCTTTTAATACTTGTGTTTGCATTATAAAATTTATATAGAGTGTTTTTTAGCTTTATCAGATTGGTTACATTATTTTTAATGCTGGCTATTTTGCCTCTCAGCTCCTGTATTATTTTATTCTGATTCTTAGATTCCTTAGATTGGATTTCAACATTCTCCTGATACTCAATGATCTTCATTTCTGTTTATATGCTGAACAATATTTCTGTCATTTCAGCCATCTCAGCCATGCTAACAACCCTTGCTGCAAAACTAGTGCAGTCACTTGGAGGAAAGAAGACACTCTGGCTTTTTGAGTTGTCAGAGTTCTTGCACTGGTTCTTTCTCATTGTTGTGGGCTCATGTTCCTTCAATATTTGAAGTTTCTGTCCTTCAGATTTTTTTTTCTTTTATCCGATTTGATGACCTTGGGGTTGGACTGTGATATCAGGTGTGTTCAGTAGACTGGCTTAATTATTGGAAGATTTTATGGGGTCAAGCCTTTGGTAAGCACTCCTGAACTGTGTGCTGTAATGCTGGGCGACCGATATCATGCCCTGGCTTTTATCTCTGCCTTCTCAAGGATAGGAAGCTGCTTCATGAGAGAGGCCAAGGTGCCCCTGGACCACTGGTCACAACACTATGATGTGTGGTGCCAGCCAAAGCAATTCATAAGGAGGTGGCAGTAAGATATATCTTCATTCACACATGACAGCAGCAATGGTAGCATAGTGGAGTGAATGGTCATCACCGAAGGCAGGGTGCTAGCAGGTGCTGGGGTGCCCACCACTGTGCAGGCATTTGCAGCAGCAGCAGTGGCAGTATGGCTAAGTGGGGGAGAGGAGGGGAGGGGACTCTGCTGGTGAGGACGCATGTGCTTGCACCAGTGGTGATTTCATCTTGGGAGCAAGGTGCTGGTGGATGCAGGACTGTTTTCACCCTCTGTGCATGTTCATATTGGCAGCAATGGCCGCTTAGAGCTGGGAGTGAGTCTGCTGTTTTTTATGCCTAGTTTTGCACTTATGGCAGTGTCAGCACAGGGGTAAAATGCTGGTAGGTTTGGAGCTTTTAAATTTTTATTGGTTATTTGGATATTCTATTTTATGAAATGCCTGTTTGAGTCTTTTGCCATTTTAAAAATAAATAGGATTCTGCCTTTTCCTCATTGATTTGAGTAGTTATTTATGTATTCATCACACAAGTATTGCCAAAATAAGATCTGGAAATATCTTCCTCCCACTCCATGGTATTCCTTTTTACCACTTAATGGTATCTTTTAATGAAAAGGAATTATTATTATTATAGTCTGATTTATTTATTTTTACCTTATGACTAATGATCTTTGAATCTTCTTTAAGAAATAATTCTCTAGACAAATCATGAATATATTATTTTGCGTTTTTACTAGAACATTTCATCTTTAGTCATTCATACCCATAACCACAATAGAAATAATATTGATGTTTTATATGGTGTGAGTAGGATTCAAGATCAACTTTCTCCCACATGAATATGCATTTAACTTAATTTTTTTTTGATTTTCAGTTTTTCCTTTGTCATATTCAAGGGTACATATATTTTCAATTTGTTTATGGATTATATTCTATTATAATTATTTGTTAAAGTGTTCTTGCACCAATACTTTATTATGGCAATTACTATATTTTTATACATATTAATAGGGAGCAAGATGGCAGAATAGTAACCTACACCTTTCTTTACCTCTGCTGGAACACAAAATTTTCGTAACTATCAATACACAGAATTGCTCTGTCACAAAAAACAAAAATTTGGTGAGCAATCACAGTACTTGGTTTTCTCTTTGTATCAACAAAAAAGGCATCAAGCAGGGCAGAAAAGACAGTCTTGAATCATCAGTGCCAACCCTTCCCTATCCTTCAGTGGCTCTGAAGTGCAGAGAATTTGTGCACTGCGGAGAAAAAAAATGCAGTAACTGTGGGACTTTACATTGAACTCAGTGCTGTGCTGTCACAATAATAAATAAAACTGTGCTGGGTTCAGCCAGCACCAGTGCAGGGAGGGAGCATTTGGACCAGCCCTAGCCATGGAGCAATCACCTATTCCAGCAGTCAGAAATTGAGTTTGTCGGCAAGCCCTGCCACTGTAGGCTGAAGTGCTCTGGGGTGCTAGGTAAACTTGAAAAGCAGTCTAGGACACAAAGACTGCAATTTTTAGACAACTTGTAGTGGCAGGCTAGGTTTAGAGCCAGTGAACTAGAGTGGCATGCAACCTAGAGAGATACTCACTGGCATGACTGAGAGATGGTTTGTACCATCCCTCCTGCAGCACCAGGCAGCAAAACTCATAGCAACTAAAGTGACTCATTTCTCCTGCTTAAGGAAAAGAAATCAAAGTATAAAGAGGATTTTGTCTTGCATCTTGGATACCATCTCATTCACAATAGGATAAGGCACATGGCAGAGTTGTGAGGCCACTACTCGAGGCTCTAGTTCCTTGATGACATTTCTAGATATACCCTGGACCAAAAAGGAACACACTACCTTGAAGGGAAGGACCCAGTCTTGGCAGAATTCATCACCTACTGACTAAAGAGTCCTTGAGTACGAAATAACTAGCAGCAATATCCAGGGAGTATATAGTGGACCTTGAGCTCTGAAACATGCTGGCTTCAGGAGAGACCCAGCACATTCTCAGCTGTGATGGTTATGGTGAAAGACTCCTTTCTGAGAAAGGTAAAGAAAAAATAAGGGGACTTTATCTTGCATGTTAGGTACCAATTCATCCACAGTGGGGTAGAGTAAGAAAAAGGTTCTTGAAGTTTCTGAGTTCAGGCCTAGGCTGTTGAAAGCATTTCTGGACATGTTCTGGAACAGAGGGGAGCCAAGTGACCTGAAAGATGAGTCCCAGGCCTGGTAGTATTCATCACAAACAGTCATATGTGCCTTTGAGCTTTAAGCAAATATCAGTTGTGGCCTGTCAGAAACCTCCACAGACCGGTGGTGGTGAGGGCTACAAGAAGAGACTCCTCTGACTGTGGAAAGGGGAAGGAAGAGAAGGAAGGAAATTATATTGCTGTCTGAGTGGTAGCTTAACCACAGTAGCACAGAACATCATGTAAATTGCTGAGGTAAATTGCTACTCTAAACCCTGGAACCAAAACACTACCTCTGGACATATCCATAGCCAGGATGCACTCACCACTCTGAATGAAGGGCCTTGGGCAAAGACCAGTGCTGTGGTAGCTTCAGGTCTGAGCCAGTGCATTCTCAGTGGTGGCGGCCACAAAGGTACTTGAGTCAGCCCAGCTGCAGTTCCAGGTGTCTCAGCACAGAGAAATTCCATTTGTTTGGGAAAAAAATGTGAGAGAAAGAACAAGATTCTTTGCATGTAAATACAGAGAAATCTTCTAGATCTTAACCATGACCACCAAATTGGTACTTTTACGAGTCTGCAAAACTCACAGCATTATTGGGCTTGGAACCCGACTTATGTAGAATACCTTGAGAGCCTTCCCAACAAAGACAGACACAAACAAACTCAGACTGTTAAGACTATAATAAATACCTAATTATTCAATGCCAAGAGACTGAGAGACATCTACAAGCATCACCATCATCCAGGAAAACGTAACTTCACTAAATGAACAAAGTAAGGCACCAGAAACCAATCATGGGGAAACAGAGATATTTGTCCTTTTGGAGAGAGAATATAAAAGGGCTGTTTTTAGAAAAGTTGAAGAAATTCAAGATAATGCAAAGAAGAAATTCAGAAGTCAATTGGAAAAAAAAATTAACAAAGATTGAAAAAATTAATAAGAATCAAGCGAACATTCTAGAGGTGAAAAATGCAATTAACATGTTGAAGAATGCATCAGAGTCTTCTAATAGCAGAATTGATCAAGCAGAAGAAACAATTAGTGAGCTTGTATCCAGCCTATTTGAGAACTCACAGTCAGAAGAAAAAGAAAGAAATATAAAAATCTAGAAAATTGCCATAAAAGGGCAAACCTAAGCCTAAAAGGCTGTATGGAAGAGGTTGTAAAAGCAATAGGGTAGAAAGTTTATTCAAAGTGATAATATCAGAGAACTTCTCAATCCTAGAGAAAGATATCAGCATTCAACTACAAGAAAGCAATAGAATATGAAACAAGCTTAACTCAAAGAAGACTGCATCAAGATATTTAATAATCAAAGTGCCCAATGTCAACAATAGACTAAGAATCTATAAGCAGCAAGAGAAAAGAAACATACATACGATGTAGCTCTAATATGTCTGGCAGCAGACTTTTCAGTGGAAGCCTTACAGGCCAGGAGAGAGTAGCATGACATTTTTAAAGTGCTGAAGGAAAACAATTTTTCATAACCTTGAAGATCTTGTGAAAATATCCCGTAAGCATGAAGGAGAAATAAAGACCTTCTCAGACAAGAAAAAAAACCTGAGGGATTTCATCAATACCAGACCTGTTCTACAAAAATCCTTCAGGGAGTTCTTCAATCTGAAGGGAAAGGATGTTCATGAGAAGGAATAAGTCATTTGAAAATACAAAACTCACTGGTAATAGTAAGCACACAGAAAAACACAGAATAATATAAAAACCTAATTGTGGTGCATAAACTACTCTTTACTGAATTAGAAAGGCTAAATGATGAACCAATAAAAAATAATAACTAAAGACACAGACGGTACAATAAGACATAAAGAGAAACAACACAATGCTAAAAAATGAGAGACAAAGTTAAAGTGTATAATTTTGATTAGTTTTCTTTTTCCATGTTTGTTTATGCAATCAGTGCCTGTCCAGAGATTAAGGCAGAGGTTATTCACACAATTTTTAAATCCCTCTTTCTGGCCCTATACTGTTTAGAATTACCCCTTCAGTTTCCCATGGCAGTGGTTGCACCAACTTCAAGTTCCTTGTTCTTAAGGCCAAAAACGTGTGGACTCCCTATTGGAGTTTAAGCTACCCTATGCGCTTGCTCTTAGGTTAAGAAGCAGCAAACAATAAGGATTTTATCATATGCCGTTTTCCTCTTCTAAGTGCAGACTTCCCTCAAGAATATGACTACTTTTGTTGAGTTTCAAGATTCTTCAGTTAGATTTTTTAAATTTTTAATGGATTTTATAGTTCTTATCTGCAAAATGATTATCAAATGGAGATTACTGAGCCTTACCAGTAGCAGAGCTTCCTCGATACATTTTTAAGCAAAGAAAAAAAAATCATGTTATATAAAAAAGAGTATGGTAAGAACTAAATAATTTAAATGATTTTAGTATATCTAACATTCCTTGAGCATTTGAGATGTGCCTGCCTTTGTCATAATTGCATTATATGCATTGTCTTATCGTTACCACCATATGAAGAAACTTTCCTGATTTTGTAGATAGGGGAAAATGTCTCAGATAAGTTAGGTAAGTTGCCTAAATTCATTTATCTAGTAAATTGTGGAGCTGGAACTCCAAGTATAGTTCTTTGACTCCAAATCAACCTACCTATGAAACACTACCCTTCTACATTCTGCATAGTTTTAACACATATGACTGGAAACATACTGAAAATTGATAAATCTATTCTGTATGAATTACAGGATAGTGGGTTATTTTCTCTTCGTTTTTATATATTATATCTTTTCTAACATTCCTTGAGCATTTGAGATGTGCCTGCCATTTTCATAATTGCATTATATGCATTGCCTTATTCATTCCTCATTACTACCATATGAAGAAACTTCCCTGATTTTGTAGATAGGGGAAAATGTCTATATGTGGCCTGTATAATTGAAAGGAAACAATTTTTTTTCTAAAGTAAAGAAGTTGGTCAAGAATGTCAAAGCTATTTAGTTACATTTTGACGATTTCTTTTACATTTTCCCTAAAGTGAGATACTAAGATATGGTTTGTTTATATAAAGTGTTTTCACATTAGTTATTTTAACAGAAAAAAGCAATCTTACATGAAGAATACAGTTTGTAATTTTAATCTTGATATGTAACAACTTGTAATAGATTGCATAAATCATAGACAAATTCTTTGAGAGGAGAATAATTCCTTATGAAGCTCAGTTGTCCATTAAGCTGTGAAGAAAAATTACAGAGTGGGAAGAAGATATTTCTAAAACTTGTTTTGACTGGTACTGTAATAAAGTAGTAGCTTTGTCACAGCTTTGTTACTCTTGGAACTGTGTCTGAAAAATCCAGTTTCTTGGTTGTATTATCTTATATGCATATCCACAAAACTTAAAGAAGATGGTACTTCTGGTTATGGACAAAGCAGGCTGTGATGTCAGCGTTATACCTACCCATTGCAATCTTTAATATACAGTGTTATGTTAATAGACAATATTTATGCTTCAAGTTATTCCCTTGGATTTTCTCTATATTTTTGTCTATCTGTTTGTTTGCTTTCTCTTTTTAAATTTATTTTAGGTTCTGAAAGTACATGTGCAGGTTTGTTACATTTGTAAATTGTGTATTGCTGATGCTTGGTGTATGAATAATCCTGTCACCAAGGTAGTGAGCATAGTACTCCATAGGTAGCCTTCCAACCCACGTTCCATTCCCACTCTTCCCACTCAAGCATTCCCCAGTGTCTGTTTTTTCTGTCTTTGTGTCCATATATATTCAATGTTTAGCTCCCACTTACAAGTCAGGGAATGTAGTATTTGTTTTTCTGTTCCTGTGTTTGTTCTCTATGCTTTTGAATACAAATGTTCTTGTCACTCTAACACTTGATTTACTAAAAATGAAGCCTTAGTTTATTATATCATATAGTACTGAAATATTTTCTCATTGTCTACCACATCTCCTTTATCATGTTTATTGGCTTACTCCTTTGTATATTTATAGTTATTCATAAATTCATTTTCAAGTGTATTCGATTCATTTTTTTGTCTCATATGTGATGCTTGCTTGGTTTCATCTTGGGACTTAAAAATCAGTGGCAACTTGTTGGAGAGCAGAATAGGGCTGGACAAACTATCAAGACATGTATTAAAGTACTACCTCATCACCAAATGTGAGTGTGTCTTTTTTGTTTATTTACAGATGATACAATTATACACACACACATTCACACATGCATACCCCTATCTCACCTGCTATATAATTAATGGCAGAAAAATAACGTATTTTTTCCTGGGAAGCAAAGCACTATCTGCAAAGTTGTATAACATTATTTAATTTTGGCACTTTAACATCTTGAAATGGGTGTGGGAGAGTGTTATGATGGACACAGGGAGTACAGATCTACGATTAATACACTGTGTATCTGTAGTGGAAGCTCCAAAAAAATCAGAAAATTTAGTCTATCTAAATAATTGTCCCAGGCTAATAACTTTTGATATAAATACCAAGGCCAATTTTTATTTTCAGTCCATATTTGGAGTTGAGTCTTGTTGAGACTCAATACAAACCAATTATGTCATTTGTCTTTTATTGATGTAGACTACTCTAAAACTGGGCAGCTGGCTCATCAAAGTATGCATTCTGGTCACAAAGGGACCAGAGAGATTTGAGAGTTCAGTCCAACTCATCTTGAATAGTAGATAGAAAAATTAATGCTGAATGAATTGCTTCGTTTCTGTTTATAAAGACATATGAAAATGATTAGTTGTTGGAAAATATGGCCTAGAGTTTCTTAAAACATTTTTGTCTTTCCATGGAAAACTGTCCAATTTGCAATGCCACATTAGAAACACCACTTTATGTTTAAAAAAGTGCTAAAATTCTAGCAATGTCAATAATTAGGAAAATGCCATTAATTCTAGCTGTCTTATTTGTGGGGATTCAGCATAATAGGAAAGGTGCCCATTTCCATAATATACATACCAAATTATTTCATCTTATACAATCTCTGTTCAGTTTTTTAAAAAATATTTAAAATCCAGTCTGCTGTCAATTAAGTAGCTTTATTTAATACGTGACTTCTACTAACATACTAACATATGCTTGCTTGTTTTTCTTCTCTGTTGGTGCCTTGCTTTCACTCAGCGCATATTTTTCCTGCTTTAAGTTGAGCTGATGATAATTTAGCAGGCCCAGCTGCAGAAATTCAGCCTCCACATAGTCAGATGTTCTCATCAAATTAGCTAATTGGCAGTGGCTTTATAAATTCCTTAATTACAGCTGCAAACATGTTATTATAGGAAACAAACCAAGTAGAAAGACCCTTAAAAATTCTCATTTCACATGGTTGTAAATGTCCTTAAGTGGAGAAAATCTGATATTTTTGTTACTATGCTAACACAATATTGTTCTAATGAGAGGGAATTAGGTATATGAGAGATGTAAACAAAGAATGAAAATGTTCGATGGGTAAAATAACATTCGCTTTAAAGACTACATTGTTTTACATTTTTCCTTCAGTGATTTGGTTGCCCACTAAAACCATACAAAGTTAATATGCATTATATCAGTTGTCTGGCTAAGCAGAAACGATGTTTGTGCAAAATATACTTATTTGTTCATATAACTATCAATAAGACAATTTGAATTTCTTGTCAAATGGGATTTGTCTTACATCTTTTATAAAGGGTTTCCAGATATTTATTATTGAATTAATTCAATGATGAGGTAGTTAGAAAACTTTTTATAGTTGAAGCATATTAAATCTGTGTCCTGCTTGCTGAGACTATCCTTTATCTAACCCAATTCAGTAGAAAATGTAAAAAGTAAACAGATTTTTAAATTAAGTTTGCTCTATGAATCTGAAATCATGATATATTATGTTCACTGTTTTAAAATTACTACCCTCAAAGGGTATTACTTGTAAGTATAATTTTGTAGTAAAGGAAAAACAGGACTGATGTTGAAAGAAAATGAACTTTCAGAACCTGCCATAAAATTAATCTAATATTTCACCATACAAAGCACACAAATGTAATTTCTCACTTACAAGTAGAAAAAAAGAAAATGTTAATTACATGCATAAGAACAAAAATAAGAATAAAAAGCTTTATTGCTGTGGTCTGAACTAATGAATATTAAATTGATATTTACAATATTTTGCAAAGACTATTTTTAAACTATTTTTAAATTTCCATTTTGTTTCTATATCATCAAAAATATTGAAGGTAGCATAAATTCTGGAGTGTTTTAAATGCTTTTATAATTCTTTGTGGTAACATATTAAATGTATCTCTATGTGCAGTTTTCCTTGTTTCCAGACTATGTATTTAAAAGATAACCATTTTCCATGTGAAACAAAATGGAGTAGGGGTTGTGTGTGTTTAAAGAAAAAAAAATATAAAAATTGCTCTTCAGAAACCTCATATTCAGAAAGTATGTAAAAGAAGTAGTGTGTATATATATATATATATATATATATATATATATATATATACACATATATATACATATATATCTTATTAAACAAAAACACAGCAAAAATTTAGAAATCCTTTGTCACTATTGATAATACTTGATTATTGAAGAAATTAAATTGTTATATATTATTATAAAGTATATTAAATGTCTACTTTATTATTGTTAATAAGAAATAAAAGATAAACCTCAAATGCTAATCAATAAAATAAAGGGATTTCAATCCTTACTTTGCTAACATCCTAACATGTCAATAGCTAAAAAATTTTATGACTTTTTAAAAAAAATTGTCTCAAATAATTATTTTTAATAAATATATACAAGAAAGCAGTTTATGAAAAAGAGTACAAGAACTAGAAACAAAAGTAATTAATGAGGAGAGAAACAATTCCAAAAACACATGATATTTTTATTATGATATTTTACTTCGCTCAGGAAAACAATGCATAGCTGAACCTAGGATGAAAAGTTTTGTATTTGAATTATTCAAAGTCCTGCCTGAAAGTGATTTCATTTTTGTCTAAAGCATATTTTCATTTGCCTTCTATTATAGTGTTACCTACTTTCTAGCCCCTTTCTTCAAAGGTTTATGGTAAAGTACCTTCAAAAGCCTACATAGCTCAATGAATTTCTGATTTTCACTACAATTGGAAAATGTATTCTCAGAGCTAAGGACCATTTTAGCAGCTAATCTTCCATTTGGATTCACATAGCTTAAAACGTTGTCTATAATTGTATTTGTTATTCAATATAGTCACCAACTCCATAACTTAGTGAGATTTTTCTTCAAGTTTGTGGAACACCTGCATCAGACTCACATAGAGATAACTGAAAATTAGATATCTGGGAGCTATCAGTACCTGCTGAATGGAATTTTTATGGTTCTTTTCAGTAACATGCAATTTTAAGAAACTTCCTGGATAAGTCTAATATGTAGTAATAATTGAACACCAATGGAAGTGCTTGATTTCTATGCCTCTGGAAACAAACAGACCTGAGTTATATATTTACTATCTGTGTAAATATATAACTGTGGCCTTTTCTGAATGCCCATCATTTATAATACTTTGTAAAAGAGAAAAAAAATTGTATTCAATGTTTTTCAAGAGTGGTCCATTGACCCTTCAAACTTAGTAGTGTTCAGCAGTGTGGTAGGTTGTAGTCTTTTTTTTCAAACAGCTTAAAATCTAGTGGAAGAGTCAAGACTAACAGAAATTAATCTATAGAAATAATAGAGGATGGTATATGTGTCATATTATATGGTATCAAACACATACTGTCAATGTTTCAGGAAATAAAGAAATTAATATACAGAAATATAATATAGATAGAATTCAGAAAAGGAGAAGAAAGGGTATTTTTGGCAAAATAACCTTGCTCCACTGGTTTTCAGTTTTAACTGTACATTGTATTTATCCAGGATGTTTGTTAAAATTGCACATTTATGAAAAAAATACATATGGAGATTTCCATTCGGCAGATAATATTTCCCAGAGACCAGATATTTCTCAGAGTTCTGATTCTGAATGATTTTAAGAAACAAAAAAAAATTTGTAGGACATCAAGATAAACCCAACTAGAAGCAAGCAAGTAAATGGAAGGATGAAGAATTTGATAAATAGGTGGGTTATGTCAGACAAAAGGTCCTAAAAATCCAGGAAGAAGATCTAGAATTCATAGTGTAAGCACATATATATATTTAATAGAAAAGTGTAAATAATTGCTTTTATTTATATTAAGATTTCAGTATTAACTGAAAGATATCAACTCTGGCCATATATTACAGAAAACAAAATATTATTACTTGGGTTATAAACTATAATATGATAGAATTTAAGGAGACTTTTACTTCTGATCATGATAGAGTAGCTGATACCAGACTTGTCATAGCAGTTAAAATAACCATAAAATTGGACAAAAATTGTGAGACATCTTTTCTCAAGCACTAAACAACAGGTAGCATGAGAGCGCAATCCTCAAAAGAAAGAGAATTCCTGATGTGAATATCATATTGGCAATAGCTTTCTTACTAGGGACAATTTTCAGATTGTAGTACATAGAACTGGAACCCAAGCAGAACATAATCGTTCCACTGAGCTCACAAGGCAGACGTCAGAGGTGTGGGTAAAGTAGCAGGAAACTGTGAGTCAAAGCACCACAGAGAAGGGATCTGCATTGAGTGGCAGAAGTCTACTGGAAGTTTCAGATCTGTCTTTGGTGAGGGTGTTAAACTGTGAAGGATCAGGATGATACCATGTGAAGATAGCAACATAGGACTTACTACTCAGATGAGAGTAAATAGTTAATAGACATTAAGCAGTGTCAAGAAACATTGGTATTCTAGTCCAGTCACAGTGAAGAGACCTAACTAATAAGTACCCAGGGAATCCAGCTAAGATAAAGGAAAGGCATTGCTTAAGAAGTAAGGATGGTGGGCCAGGCACAGTGGCTCAAGCCTGTAATCCCAGCACTTTGGGAGGCTGAGGAGGGCAGATCACGAGGTCAGGAGATGAGACCATCCTGGCTAACACGGTGAAACCCCATCTCTACTAAAAATACAAAAAAAAAAAAAAAAAGAAAAGAAAAGAAAAAAATTAGCCGGGCGTGGTGGCGGGTGCCTGTAGTCCCAGCCACTCGGGAGGCTGAGGCCAGGGAATGGCGTAAACCCAGGAGGCGGAGTTTGCAGTGAACCGAGATCTCGCCACTGCACTCCAGCCTGGGTGACAGAGCGAGACTCCATCAAAAAAAAAAAAAAAAAAAAAAAGAAGAAGTAAGGATGGTGGGGAGAAGCCAATATGGCCGACTAGAAGGAGCTGCCATTGGTGGCTCTCACCAAGAAGAACAAAAAGAGTGGGTGAATCCTCCACCTTCAGCTGAGGTATCCAGGTTCTCTCATTGGGACTGACTAGACAGTTGATGTGACCCACAGAGACCGAGGAAAAGCAGGGTGGAGTGGCAGCCCACCCAAAAGCTGCATGGGGCAAGAGGAGCTCCCACTCCCAGCCAAGGGAGGCAGTGAGTGATTGCGCTACCCAGTCTCAGAAACCCCATTTTTTTCATGGGTCTGTACAACCTGTGAATCAGGAGATCCATTTGTGAGCCCATGCCACCAAGGCCTTGGGTCCCAAGCACAGAGCTGTGCAGGCTCTCCACAGCCACTCAGGTTATGACAAGTGGCAGCAGGCTGGAGACTGTCTAAGATGACCGAATTGCCAGGGGTAAGGGTGCCCACCATCACTGCAGCTCCAGTTGGCCATTTTCCCCTACTAGGGCCAGGGAGTCCAATTGGTTTGGACCAGGAGGAATTCCCCCACAGTGCTGCACAGTGGCTGTGGCAGATTGTGGTCAGACTGCTTCTTTAGGTGGTCCTGGGATTCATTTCTCCTCACTGGGCAGGGCCTCCAAAAAAGAGCCCAAATAGCAAAGACAATCCAAAGCAAAAAGAACAAAGCTGGAGGCATCATGCTACCCAAATTCAAACTATACTACAAGGCTGCAGTAACCTAAACAGCATGGTACTGATACAAAAACAGACATGCAGACCAATGGAACAGAAAGGAGAACTAAGGAATAATACTGCACATCTACAACCATCTGATCTTCGACAAATATGACAAAAACAAGCAATGGGGAAAGGGTTCCCTATTTAATAAGTGGTGCTGGGAGAACTGGCTAGCCATATGAAGAACACTGAAACTGGACCCCTTCCTTACACCTTATACAAAAATTAACTCAAATGGGTGAAAGAGTTAAATGTAAAACCCAAAACTATAAAAGCCCTAGAAGAAAATCTAGGCAATATCATTCAGGACATAATCGTCGGCAAAGATTTCATGATCAAAATGCCAAAAGCACTTACAACAAAGTCAAAAATTGACAACTGGGATCTAAATAAACCAAAGAGCTTCTGCACAGCAAAAGGAGCTATCATCAGAGCAAACAGATAACCTATGGAATGGGAGAAAAACTTTGCAATCTATCCATCTGACCAAGGTCTAATTTTCAGAATCTACAAGGAACTTAAACAAATTTAGAAGAAAAAAATCGAACAACATTAAAATTGGACACAGAACATAAAAAGACACTTCTCAAAAGAAAACATTTATGTGGCAAAAAAAAGCTCAACATCATTGATCATTAGAGAAATGTGAATCAAAACTACAATAAGAGACCATCTCATGCCAGTCAGAATGGCAATTATTAAAAATTTAAGAAACCACAGATGCTGGCAAGGCTGCAGTGAAATAAGAATGCTTCTACCCTGTTGGTGAAAATGTAAATTAGTTCAACCACTGTGGAAGACAGTGTGGCAATTCCTCAAAGACTTAAAACCAGAAATGCCATTTGATGCTGCAATCCCATTACTGGGTATATACCCAAAGGAATATAAATCATTCTATTATAAAGATACATGAATGCGTATGTTCACTGCAGCACTATTCACAACCACAAAGACATAGAATCAACAAAAATGCCCATCAATGATAGACTGAATAAAGAAAATGTGGTACATATACACCACAGAATACTACGCAGCCATAAAGAGGAAGGAGATTATGTCCTTTGCAAGGACGTGGATGAAGCTGGAAGCCATTGTCGTCAGCAAACTAATGCAGGACCAGACAACCAAACATCATTTGTTCCCACTTATAAGTGGGACCTAAACAGTGTGAACATATAGACACAGGGAGGGGAACAACACATAATAGGACCTGTTGGCAGAGGGAAGGCAGAGCATCAGGAAAAATAGCTAATCCATTGTGGGCTTAACACTTAGGTAATGAGTTGATATGTGCAGCAAACCAGCATGACATACGTTTACCTGTACAACAAACCTTCACATCTTCCACATGTACCCTGGAACTTAAAATGAAATATAGAAGTAAAAATTATACCTTACACTGAGCAAGGCTTGTTTTACCAAAGTCAAGCAAGACTTGACTTACCAAAGCATAAAATAAAGTTATGACAAGACACTTGGGGAGACAATTTTTTGAGATTGAGTCTTGTCGAATTAGAAGGGCATTGGAAGAACCTTTATATGTTCAAAGGTAATACCACAGTGAAAAATCAAATCTAAACAAACACAAGGTTAAAAAATTCCTTATGTGAACAGACTGTTTAACAAAATCATCCCTCTTCAGAGGCAAACAACCAAGATCAGAATATTTACAAAATACCATTTCGCATGTGCAAAATAGAAAAAAAAAAACAGTTACTAAACACGATTTCTGGGTAAATAACGAAATGAAGGCAGAAATAAAGATGTTCTTTGAAACCAATGAGAACAAAGACACAACGTACCAGAATCTCTGGGACACATTTAAAGCAGTGTGTAGAGGGAAATTTATAGCACTAAATGCCCACAAGAGAAAGCAGGAAAGATCTAAAATCGACACCCTAACGACACAATAAAAAGAACTAGAGAAGCAAGAGCAAACAAATTCAAAAGCTAGCAGAAGGCAAGAAATAACTAAGATCAGAGCAGAACTGAAGGAGATACAGACACAAAAAAACCCTTCAAAAACTCAATGAATCCAGGAGCTAGTTATTTGAAAAGATCAACAAAATTGATAGAACACTAGCAAGACTAATAAAGAAGAAAAGAGAGAAGAATCAATAGATGCAATAAAAATGATAAAGGGGATATCACCACTGATCCCACAGAAATACAAACTACCATCGGAGAATACTATGAACACCTCCATGCAAATAAACTGGAAAATCTAGAGGAAATGGATCAATTCCATGGCAAATACACCCTCTCAAGACTAAACCAGGAAGAAGTTGAATCTCTTAATAGACCAATAATGGCTCTGAAATTGAGGCAATAATTAATAGCTTACCAATCAAAAAAAGTCCAGGACCAGATGGATTCACAGCCGAATTCTACCAGAGGTACAAGGAGGAACTGGTACCATTCCTTCTGAAACTATTTCAATGAATAGAAAAAGAGGAAATCCTCCCTAACTCATTTTATGAGGCCAGCATCATCCTGACACCAAAGCCTGGCAGAGTCACAACAAAAAAAGAGAATTTTAGACTAATATCCCTGATGAACATTGATGCAAAAATCCTCAATAAAATACTGGCAAACTGAATCCAGCAGCACATCAAAAAGCTTATCCGCCATGATCAAGTGGGCTTCATCCCTGGGATGCAAGGCTGGTTCAATATAAGCAAATCAATAAATGTAATCCAGCATATAAAGAGAACCAAAGACAAAAACCACATGATTATCTCAATAGATGCAGAAAAGGCCTTTGAAAAAATTCAACAGCCCTTCATGATAAAAACTCTCAATAAATTAGGTATTGATGGGAAGTATCTCAAAATAATAAGAGTTATCTATGACAAACCCACAGCCAATATCATACTGAATGGGCAAAAACTGGAAGCATTCCCTTTGAAAACTGGCACAAGACAGGGATGCCCTCTCTCACCACTCCTATTCAACATAGTGTTGGAAGTTCTGACCAGGGCAATCAGGCAAGAGAAAGAAATAAATGGTATGCAATTAGGAAAAGAGGAAGTCAAATTGTTCCTGTTTGCAGATGACATGACTGTATATCTAGAAAATCCCATTGTCTCAGCCCAAAATCTCCTTAAGCTGATAAGCAACTTCAGCAAAGTCTCAGGATACAAAATCAATGTGCAAAAACCACAAGCATTCCTATACATCAGTAACAGACAAACAGAGAGCCAAATCATGAGTGAACTCCCACTCACAATTGCTTCAAAGAGAATAAAATACCTAGGAATCCAACTTACAAGGGATGTGAAGGACCTCTTCAAGGAGAACGACAAACCACTGCTTAACGAAATAAAAGAGGATACAAACAAATGGAAGAACCTTCCATGCTCATGGATAGGAAGAATCAATATCCTGAAAATGGCCATAATGTCCAAGGTAATTTATAGATTCAATGCCATCCCCATCAAGTTAACAATGATTTTCTTTATAGAATTGGAAAAAACTACTTTAAAGTTCATATGGAACCAAAAAAGAGCCCGCATTGCCAAGTCAATCCTAAGCGAAAAGAACAAAGCTGGAGGCATCACGCTACCTGACTTCAAACTATACTACAAGGCCACAGTAACCAAAACAGCATGGTAATGGTACCAAAACAGAGATATAGACCAATGGAACAGAATAGAGCCCTCAGAAATAATACCACACATCTACAACCATCTGATCTTTGACAAACCTGACAACAAGAAGAAATGGGGAAAGGATTCCGTGTTTAATAAATGGTACTGGGAAAACTGGCTAGCCATATGTAGAAAGCTGAAACTGGATCCCTTCCTTACACCTTATACAAAAATTAATTCAAGATGGATTAAAGACTTAAATGTTAGACCTAAAACCATAAAAACTCTAGATGAAAACCTAGGCAATACCATTCAGGACATAGGCATGGGCAAGGACTTCATGTCTAAAACATCAAAAGCAATGGCAACAAAAGCCAAAATTGACAAATGGGGTCTAATTAAACTAAAGAGCTTCTGCACAGCAAAAGAAACTACCATCAGTGTGAACAGGAAACCTACAGAATGGGAGAAAATTTTTACAATCTACCCATCTGACAAAGGGCTAATATCCAGAATCTATGAAGAACTTAAACAAATTTACAAGAAAAAAACAAACAACCCCATCAAAAAGGGGGCAAAGTATATGAACCGACACTTTTCAAAAGAAGACATTCATGCAGCCAACAGACACATGAAGAAATTCTCATCATCTATGGTCATCAGAGAAATGCAAATCAAAACCACAGTGAGATACCATCTCACACCAATTATAATGGCGATCATTAAAAAGTCAGGAAACAACAGGTGTTGGAGAGGATGTGGAGAAATAGAAACAATTTTACACTGTTGATGCGACTGTAAACTAGTTCAACCATTGTGGAAGACAGTGTGGCGATTCCTCAGGGATCTAGAACTAGAAATACCATTTGACCCAGCCATCCCATTACTGGGTATATACCCAAAGGATTATACATCTTGCTGCTATAAAGACACATGCAAAGGTATGTTTATTGTGGCACTATTCACAATAGCAAAGACTGGAACCAACCCAAATGTCCATCAATGATAGACTGGATTAAGAAAATGTGGCACATATACACCATGGAATACTATGCAGCCATAAAAAAGGATGAGTTAATGTCCTTTGTAGCGACATGAATGAAGCTGGAAACCATCATTCTGAGCGAACTATCTCAAGGACAGAAAACCAAACACCACATGTTCTCATTCATAGGTGGGAATTCAACAATGAGAACCCTTGGACACAGGGTGGGGAACAACACACACCAGGGCCTGTTGTGGGGTGGGGGGATGGCGGATTGATAGCACTAGGAGAAATACCTAATGTAAATGATGAGTTAATGGGTGCAGCAAACCAACACAGCACATGTATACATATGTAACAAACCTGCATGTTATGCACATGTACTCTAGAACTTAATGTGTAATAAAAAAAATTATTTCATGTTCATGGATAGGAAGACTCATTTTACTTTAAGATGTGTGTTTTTTCCAACTAAATATAGAGATTCCATGCATCCCACTCGTAATTCTAGCACATTATTTTATGGATATTAATAAATCAATTTTAAATGGAATGTAAATGTAGAAAGGCAAAAGACCCAATAATAGCCAGCATATCTTTGAAGGAGAACAAATTTGGAGGACTGAGACTACCTAAAATAAAGACTTACAATAAAGCAACAGTAATCAGAGAGTGTGATATTGACAAAAGCATAGACAGATCTTATTGGAAACAAATAGTGAGGCTAGAAAGATATGCATACAAATATAATCAATTTAGCTTTGACAAGGGAACAAAGACAATGCCATGGAGAAAATATAGTCTTTTCAACAAATAATGTTAGAACAACTGGACATCCACATACAAAAATAATGAAAGTAGAGGCAGACATTACACCTTTCATAAAAATTAACTAAAAGTAGTCTACCGACCTAAATGTAAACATAAATCTCCCAGATGTAAACATAAATGCAAAACATAAATCTCTCAGAAGATAAAATAGGAAACAAATTTAAGTGACCTTGACTTTAATGATTATATATATGATATCAAGGGCACAATACATAAAAATATTGATACAGAGGAGGAGGAGCCAAGATGGCCGAATAGGAACAGCTCCAGTCTACAGCTCCCAGCGTGAGCAACGCAGAATATGGGTGATTTCTGCATTTCCATCTGAGGTACCAGGTTCATCTCACTAGGGAGTGCCAGACAGTGGGCGCAGGTCAGTGGGTGCATGCACCATGCACGAGCCGAAGCAGGGCGAGGCATTGCCTCACTTGGGAAGCGCAAGGGGTCAGGGAGTTCCCTTTCCAAGTCAAAGAAAGGGGTGACAGATGGCACCTGGAAAATCGGGTCACTCCCAGCTGAATACTGCTCTTTTCCGACCGGCTTAAAAAATGGCGCACCGCAAGATTATATCCCGCACCTGGCTCAGAGGGTCCTACGCCCACAGAGTCTCACTGATTGCTAGCACAGCAGTCTGAGATCAAACTGCAAGGCGGCAGTGAGGCTGGGGGAGGGGCGTCCGCCATTGCCCAGGCTTGCTTAGGTAAACAAAGCAGTGGGGAAGCTCGAACTGGGTGGAGCCCACCACAGCTCAAGGAGGCCTGCCTGCCTCTGTAGGCTCCACCTCTGGGGGCAGGGCACAGACAAACAAAAAGACAGCAGTAACCTCTGCAGACTTAAATGTCCCTGTCTGACAGCTTTGAAGAGAGCAGCGGTTCTCCCAGCAAGCAGCTGGAGATCTGAGAACGGGCAGACTGCCTCCTCAAGTGGGTCCCTGACCCCTGACCCCTGAGCAGCCTAACTGGGAGGCACCCCCCAGCAGGGGCACACTGACACCTCACAGAGCAGGGTATTCCAACAGACCTGCAGCTGAGGGTCCTGTCTGTTAGAAGGAAAACTAACAAACAGAAAGGACATCCACACCAAAAACCCATCTGTACATCACCATCATCAAAGACCAAAAGTAGATAAAACCACAAAGATGGGGAAAAAACAGAACAGAAAAACTGGAAACTCTAAAAAGCAGAGCGCCTGTCCTCCTCCAAAGGAACGCAGTTCCTCACCAGCAACAGAACAAAGCTGGATGGAGAATGACTTTGACGAGCTGAGAGAAGAAGGCTTCAGACGATCAAATTACTCTGAGCTACGGGAGGACATTCAAACCAAAGGCAAAGAAGTTGAAAACTTTGAAAAAAATTTAGAAGAACGTATAACTAGAATAACCAATACAGAGAAGTGCTTAAAGGAGCTGATGGAGCTGAAAACCAAGGCTCGAGAACTACGTGAAGAATGCAGAAGCCTCAGGAGCCGATGCGATCAACTGGAAGAAAGGGTATCAGCAATGGAAGATGAAATGAATGAAATGAAGCGAGAAGGGAAGTTCAGAGAAAAAAGAATAAAAAGAAATGAGCAAAGCCTCCAAGAAATATGGGACTATGTGAAAAGACCAAATCTACGTCTGATTGGTGTACCTGAAAGTGATGGGGAGAATGGAACCAAGTTGGAAAACACTCTGCAGGATATTATCCAGGAGAACTTCCCCAATCTAGCAAGGCAGGCCAAAGTTCAGATTCAGGAAATACAGAGAACGCCACAAAGATACTCCTCGAGAAGAGCAACTCCAAGACACATAATTGTCAGATTCACCAAAGTTGAAATGAAGGAAAAAATGTTAAGAGCAGCCAGAGAGAAAGGTCGGGTTACCCTCAAAGGGAAGCCTATCAGACTAACAGCAGATCTCTCGGCAGAAACCCTACAAGCCAGAAGAGAGTGGGGGACAATATTCAACATTCTTAAAGAAAAGAATTTTCAACCCAGAATTTCATATCCAGACAAACTAAGCTTCATAAGTGAAGGAGAAATAAAATGCTTTACAGACAAGCAAATGCTGAAATATTTTGTCACCACCAGGCCTGCCCTAAAAGAGCTCCTGAAGGAAGTGCTAAACATGGAAAGGAACAACCGGTACCAGCCACTGCAAAATCATGCCAAAATGTAAAGACCATCGAGACTAGGAAGAAACTGCATCAACTAACGAGCAAAATCACCAGCTAACATCATAATGACAGGATCAAATTCACACATAACAATATTAACTTTAAATGTAAATGGACTAAATGCTCCAATTAAAAGACACAGACTGGCAAATTGGATAAAGAGTCAAGACCCATCAGTGTGCTGTATTCAGGAAACCCATCTCACGTGCAGAGACACACATAGGCTCAAAATAAAAGGATGGAGGAAGATCTGCCAAGCAAATGGAAAACAAAAAAAGGCAGGGGTTGCAATCCTAGTCTCTGATAAAACAGACTTTAAACCAACAAAGATCAAAAGAGACAAAGAAGGCCATTACATAATGGTAAAGGGATCAATTCAACAAGAAGAGCTAACTATCCTAAATATATATGCACCCAATACAGGAGCACCCAGATTCATAAAGCAAGTCCTGAGTGACCTACAAAGAGACTTAGACTCCCACACATGAATAATGGGAGACTTTAACATTCCACTGTCAACATTAGACAGATCGACGAGACAGAAAGTCAACAAGGATACCCAGGAATTGAACTCAGCTCTGCACCAAGCAGACCTAATAGACATCTACAGAACTCTCCACCCCAAATCAACAGAATATACATTTTTCTTAGCACCACACCACACCTATTCCAAAATTGACCACATAGTTGGAAGTAAAGCTCTCCTCAGCAAATATAAAAGAACAGAGATTACAACAAACTGTCTCTCAGACCACAGTGCAATCAAACTAGAACTCAGGATTAAGAATCTCACTCAAAACCGTTCAACTACATGGAAACTGAACAACCTGCTCCTGAATGACTACTGGGTACATAATGAAATGAAGGCAGAAATAAAGATGTTCTTTGAAACCAACGAGTACAAAGACACAACATACCAGAATCTCTGGGACGCATTCAAAGCAGTGTGTAGAGGGAAATTTATAGCACTAAATGCCCACAAGAGAAAGGAGGAAAGATCCAAAATTGACACCCTAACATCAAAATTAAAAGAACTAGAAAAGCAAGAGCAAACACATTCAAAAGCTAGCAGAAGGCAAGAAATAACTAAAATCAGAGCAGAACTGAAGGAAATAGAGACACAAAAAACCCTTCAAAAAATTAACGAATCCAGGAGCTGGTTTTTTGAAAGGATCAACAAAATTGATAGATCACTAGCAAGACTAATAAAGAAAAAAAGAGAGAAGAATCAAATAGACACAATAAAAAATGATAAAGGGGATATCACCACCGATCCCACAGAAATACAAACTACCATCAGAGAATACTACAAACACCTCTACGCAAATAAACTAGAAAATTGAGAAGAAATGGATACATTCCTCGACACATACACTCTCTCAAGACTAAACCAGGAAGAAGTTGAATCTCTGAATAGACCAATAACAGGATCTGAAATTGTGGCAATAATCAATAGCTTAGCAACCAAAAAGAGTCCAGGACCAGATGGATTCACAGCCGAATTCTACCAGAGGTACAAGGAGGAACTGGTACCATTCCTTCTGAAACTATTCCAATCAATAGAAAAAGAGGGAATCCTCCCTAACTCATTTTATGAGGCCAGCACCATTCTGATACCAAAGCCGGGCAGAGACACAACCAAAAAAGGGAATTTTAGACCAATATCCTTGATAAACATTGATGCAAAAATCCTCAATAAAATACTGGCAAACTGAATCCAGCAGCACATCAAAAAGCTTATCCACCATGATCAAGTGGGCTTCATCCCTGGGATGCAAGGCTGGTTCAATATAAGCAAATCAATAAATGTAATCCAGCATATAAACAGAGCCAAAGAGAAAAACCACATGATTATCTCAATAGACGCAGAAAAAGCCTTTGACAAAACTCAACAACCCTTCATGCTAAAAACTCTCAATAAATTAGGTATTGATGGGACGTATTTCAAAATAATAAGAGCTATCTACGACAAACCCACAGCCAATATCATACTGAATGGGCAAAAACTGGAAGCATTCCCTTTGAAAACTGGCACAAGACAGGGATGCCCTCTCTCACCACTCCTATTCAACATAGTGTTGGAAGTTCTGGCCAGGGCAATTAGGAAGGAGAAGGAAATAAAGGGTATTCAATTAGGAAAAGAGGAAGTCAAATTGTCCCTGTTTGCAGATGACATGATTGTATATCTAGAAAACCCCATTGTCTCAGCCCAAAATCTGCTTAAGTGGATAAGCAACTTCAGCAAAGTCTCAGGATACAAAATCAATGTGCAAAAATCACAAGCATTCTTATACACCAACAACAGACAAACAGAGAGCCAAATCATGAGTGAACTCCCATTCACAATTGCTTCAAAGAGAATAAAATACCTAGGAATCAAACTTACAAGGGATGTGAAGGACCTCTTCAAGGAGAACTACAAACCACTGCTCAAGGAAGTAAAAGTGGATACAAACAAATGGAAGAACATTCCATGCTCATGGGTAGGAAGAATCAATATCATGAAAATGGCCATACTGCCCAAGGTAATTTATAGATTCAATGCTATCCCCATCAAGTTACCAATGACTTTCTTCACAGAATTGGAAAAAACTACTTTAAAGTTCATATGGAACCAAAAAAGAGCCCGCATCAGCAAGTGAATCCTAAGCCAAAAGAACAAAGCTGGAGGCACCACACTACCTGACTTCAAACTATACTACAAGGCTACAGTAACCAAAACAGCATGGTACTGGTACCAAAACAGAGATATAGATCAATGGAACAGAACAGAGCCCTCAGAAATAACGCCGCATATCTACAACTATCTGATCTTTGACAAACCTGACAAAAACAAGCAATGGGGAAAGGATTCCCTATTTAATAAATGGTGCTGGGAAAACTGGCTAGCCATATGTAGAAAGCCGAAACTGGATCCCTTCCTTACACCTTATACAAAAATCAATTCAAGATGGATTAAAGACTTAAACGTTAGACTTAAAACCATAAAAACCCTAGAAGAAAACCTAGGCATTACCATTCAGGACATAGGCATGGGCAAGGACTTCATGTCTAAAACACCAAAAGCAATGGCAACAAAAGCCAAAATTGACAAACGGGATCTAATTAAATTAAAGAGCTTCTGCACAGCAAAAAAAACTACCATCAGAGTGAACAGGCAACCTACAAAATGGGAGAAAATTTTCGCAACCTACTCATCTGACAAAGGGCTAATATCCAGAATCTACAATGAACTCAAACAAATTTACAAGAAAAAAACAAACAACCCCATCAAAAAGTGGGCGAAGGACATGAACAGACACTTCTCAGAAGAAGACATTTATGCAGCCAAAAAACATATGAAAAAATGCTCATCATCACTGGCCATCAGAGAAATGCAAATCAAAACCACAATGAGATACCATCTCACAACAGTTAGAATGGTGATCATTAAAAAGTCAGGAAATGACAGGTGCTGGAGAGGATGTGGAGAAATAGGAACACTTTTACACTGTTGGTGGGACTGTAAACTAGTTCAACCATTGTGGAAGTCAGTGTGGTGATTCCTCAGGGATCTAGAACTAGAAATACCATTTGACCCAGCCATCCCATTACTGGGTATATACCTAAAGGACTATAAATCATGCTGCTATAAAGACACATGCACACGTATGTTTATTGCGACATTATTCACAATAGCAAAGACTTGGAACCAACCCAAATGTCCAACAATGATAGACTGGATTAAGACAATGTGGCACATATACACCATGGAATACTATGCAGCCATAAAAAATGATGAGTTCATGTCCTTTGTAGGGACATGGATGAAATTGGAAATCATCATTCTCAGTAAACTATTGCAAGAACAAAAAACCAAGCACTGCATATTCTCACTCATAGGTGGGAATTGAACAATGAGATCACATGGACACAGGAAGGGGAATATCACACTCTGGGGACTGTAGTGGGGTGTGGGGAGGGGGGACGGATAGCATTGGGAGATATACCTAATGCTACATGACGAGTTAGTGGGTGCAGCGCACCAGGATGGCACATGTATACATATGTAACTAACCTGCACAATGTGCACATGTACCCTAAAACTTAAAGTATAATTAAAAAAAAAACTAGAAAAAAAATATTGATACACTGTACTTCATTGAAATTAAAGATTTCTGCTCTTTGAAAGACATTCAGGAGAATGAGAAGAGAAGACAAAGGCCAGGATAAACTTTATATATATATAATATATAATTAGTTATATATGTTATTTATATATAATATATATAAATGGACTGCTTTCAAAATATATGGAGCTATTAAAACTCAAATATAATAAAACAATTAAAAATGGACAAAAATCTGAACAAATACCTCACCAAAGAAAATATACAGAAGGCAAATAAGTATATATGTCATTATATAATTGAGTTAAAATGACAATTAGATAGCAGTACATGTCTGCTAAAATGGCTAAAACGAAAACACACCAAATGCTGGTGAGTATGCGTGCCACAGAAACTCTCATCTGCTGCTGGTGGGAATATAAAATGATATAATTTAATTGTAATTGCTAAAATGTGATAGCATGTAAAATGTTTAAAAGGTGGATGTAAACAAACAAATGGTACACCATACAATGGAGTACTATTTAGTACTAAGAATAAATGAGGTATCAAGCCTTGAAAATTCATGAAGGAAACCTTGAAAGCACATTGCTAAGTGACAAACCAAACTGAAGACGCAAGATTCTCCATGATTTCAACTATATGGCATCAAGAAAAGGTAAAATTATGGAGACAGTAAAAAGTTTAGTGGTTTCCTACTTCTTTTTCCTAAAGGGAAAGAGAGGCAGGGATAAACGGATGGAGAGCAGGGAATTCTTAGGGCAGTGAAACTATTTTGTATGTTACTTTAATAACAGATACATGTCATTACACATTCTTCAAAATCCATAGAATGTACAACAGAAAGAATGAACCCAAATGGAAGGAGAGCAGGGAATTCTTAGGGGAGTGAAATATTTTGTATGTTAATTTAATAATGGATACACGTCATTACACATTCTTCAATATCCATAGAATGTACAACAAAAAGAATGAACCTTAATGTAAACTGTGGACTTTAGTCATAAGAATGTATTAATATCTGTTCATAAATTATAACAAATATACCACACTAATACAGGATGTAAATAATACAGAAAAATGTGTGTGGGGGTGGGGAGAGGGTTACCTGAGAACTATTTGTATTTTCTGATCAATTTTTCCGTAAATCTACACTTTTCTTAAAACTGAAGTTTATTAACATTAAATGTCACTAGACATAAGGAGAAACGTGAAAATGTGAGTTAGAGCCAAGAATAAAAGCAGTAAACAGAAAATGACCGCATAGTATTCTATGCTGGATTTCGCTTACAGAAGTTCCATTTTGGATCTAGTTGACAAAGACTTTTAAAGTAATTATAAATATGTTTAGAAACTTCAAGCAATTTTTCATCATAATGAATGACTAATGGACCATTTTAGGAAAGAAATAGAACTATATAAAAGGATCAAGGTGAAATTCTAGATTTGAAAAAATGTAGTCACAAATAAAAAATTTCACTTGAAAAATTCAGACATTGGGAAATAGAATGGGGCAGGGACCATAAAAATAAAATTATTATAATTATGCAATTTTAAAACCTGAGAGAGAAAAAAATAAAAATTAATAAAAGAGTTGGGGAGAAAAATATTTTAAGTAGTGACTGATATTTTCCAATATTTAGTGAAAGACAAATATACAACTTCAGGAAGCTATGCATATCCAGTTTATTCAAATACAAGGAAAATCAGTTAGTCAAAACATGGTCAAACAGCTAAAAACCAAAGATAAAGATAAAATCTTGAAAGCAGCCAGAGGAAGACAAGACTCACATATATTTTCATGAGCAAAAATGGCTAAAGAAAACCATTGTAATTCATACCATTAAGACTACAGAGAAATAAAAACAACAACCTATTGATATATGAAGCAACTTGGATGGATCTCAACGGTGGGGGTTGTGCCATAAAAGAGTAGCATGAGAGATCATTATAGTGATGGAAGTATTGTGGATCTCAATTGTGATAGTTGTCACATGAATCTACACATAAGTAAAATTGCATAGAAATAAATACAGACACACAGAGAAGTGCATGCAAAACTGGTGATATCTGAATAAATTTGGTGGATTATATCAATGTCAATATCCACATTGTAATATTGTACTTTAGATACGCAAGCCATTTTTATTAGGGAAAACTGGGTTAAAAGGTACAAGTGAACTTTCTGTTCTATTTCCTACAACTGTATGTGAAACTACAATTATCTAAAAAAAACAACCAAATACATGTAGGAAAAATAGACAGAAATAAAGAAATAGTCAAATCTATAGTAACAGCTGTAGATTTTAACGCCTCCTCCAAGTAATGTGTAGTTGGCATTTACACAATATTATGACAATAATTTAAAATTACACATTTTTGTAATGTGCATATGAACCATTTACAAAGTTGGATCTTATGCCATTTTACTTAAATATCAATGTTTTGAAAGTTCATAATCATACTGTGCATCTTTTTCTTTAAAAATGAAATAAATTAGAAATACTTTTAAGATATCTAGAAAATTAACAAGTATTTTGAAATCACATAAAACATAATTAAATGTCTCCTAAATTTAAAAAGATATCCCAATGGAAATTAAAAAATATTTTGAACAAAATGACAATGAAAACACATGTCAAAATTGGAGAGATGCAGTTTAAAGCAGTGTTTAATGGAATTTTTATAGCTTTTTATCCTATATTAATATTGAAAATTACAATATGTTTGATTTAGAATTTCATCATAAGAATCTAGCAAACATACGAGCAAATTAAGCCTAAAGTGTAAGGAAATTAGTCATGAAGAGCTTAAATCAATAAAACAGAAAACACACTATTTCTTTGAATGTCTGGTAGAATTCTGCTGTGAATCCATCTGGTCCTGAACTTTTTTTTTGTTGGTAATTTTTTAATTGGTATCAATCCTTTTGACACTATTCCACAAGATAGAGAAAGAAGAAACCCTTCCTAATTCAAAGAAAGCGAAAGTAGGGTAATAATTATTAGGGGCTGGGTGAAGTGGGAAGTTGCAAATTATCGTTTAATTGGGTACAAGTTTCAGTTTAGAATGATGAATAAGTTCTGGAGGTGGATAGTGATTAAGTGCATTCCATGTGAATGCACTGAGTGCCACTGAATTGTACACTTCAAGGTGGTTACAACTGTGAATTTTATTTCATGTATATTTCATATACTAAAAAACTATATGATATATGAAAACAAAAATGGTAAAATAGCTATGTCCAATTATAAGTGTCATGGCTGACTTTTTAAAGGATGAGAATCATATTTTTCTTTATCTGTAAAGGAAAAAACATTATTTCTCAGAAAAAATAAAATCTATAATGATACTTTTTATGAAAACTCACAAGTTAATCTATTTAGATGTTTCTTCGATAAGAAAATTAAAATTGTTATTGATTAGTTATTTTGATATATGCAAAATCTTGCCATCACCTGGGGCTTTCAGTTGAGTGAGAAATAAATGATAGGCTTTTGATCTACTGTTTGATGCAAAAGAAAAACCTAAAACATATTAAAAGCAATGGAATCAAATTCATGGAAAAAAGATAAATAGGAGGAAGCAAGGTAAGATGGAAAATAGTAACCTCTACCAATTTTCCTCCACACAGGGGCACCAAATTAAGCAACTATCCACACACAAAAAAACACCTTAATAAAAATCAAAAATCAGGTATGCAATAACAGTACCTGCCTTTAACTTTATATATTTTTTAAAAAGAGCCACTGAATAAGGTAGAAAAGGCAATCTTTTTTTTTTTTGAGACAAGGTCTCCCTCTGTCACAGGCTGGAATGCAGTCATGCAATCTAGTGTCACTACATCCTTGACCTCCTGGGCTCAAGTGATCCTCCCACTTCAGCCTCCTGAGTCGCTGGGACTATAGGCCAAAATCACCACAGTAAGCTACTTTTTTTCTTTTTTTATAGAGAAAGGGTTCTCTGCTGTGTTGCCCAGGCTCATCTCAAACTCCTGGGTTCAAGTGACCCACCCATTTTAGCCTCCCAAAGTGCTAGGACTACAGGCATGGGCCACTATGCTTGGGCAGAATAGCGAGTCTTGATTTACCATCACCACTCCTCTCCCATTCTTTGCAGCAGCCACGTGGCATGGAGAAATAACATTTGCGCTGGAGGAGGGAGAGTGCAGTGATTATGGGACTTTGCATTGGAACTCAGTGCTTCCCTGTCACAGCGGAAAGCAACAACAGGCAGAACTCAGCCAGCATCTCTAGAGAGTACTTAGACCTGCCCTAGCCAGAGGGGAATTGCCTATGCCAGTAGTAGAAACCTGAGTTCCACCTAGTGAGACATCAATGCAAGCAGCCAAGTCAGTGCTTGTGCCACTGCTCCCCCAACCCCAGAAAGTGCAGCTTGCAGGTCCAAGAGAGACTTTTTCTTTGCTGGAAGAGAGTAGTGTGAAGAGTAAAGAAAACTTTATCTTGCAACTTGGATACCAGCTCAACCACAGAAAGATAGAGCACCTGCCAGGTCCTGAGGCTCCTATTCCAGGCCCTAGCACCTGGATGACATTTCTAAATACACCCTGGACCAGAGGTGAACCTGCTACCTAGAAGGGAAGCACTCATTCCTGACAGGATTCATCACATACTGACTAAACAGCCTATGGACCATGAATAATTAGCAGTGGTACCCAGGCAGTACCCACCTTGAGCCTTGGATGAGACTTCGAGACTTGCTGGTTTCAGATGTGAACCAGCACATCCCCAGGTATGGTAACAATAGAAAGGGGTTCCTTCTGCTTGAGAAAAGGAGAGGAAATAGTAAAGGGGACTTTATTATGAAGCTTAGCTACCAGCTCAGCCACCCTGGAGTAGAGCACCAAGTGGGTTCTTATGGTCCTGGATGCCAGGCCTTGGCTCTTGGATGGCATTTCTGGATCTGGCCTCAGTCCGAGGGGAAACCATGGTCCTAAAGGGAGAGTTCCAGACCTGATAACATTCACCACAAGCTGACCGAAGAGGCCCTTGAGGCTTGAATGAACATTGGTGGTAGCCAGACAGTACTCACCATAGGCCTTGAATGATAGTGGTTATGGAGAGACTCCTCTGCTTGAGGAAAGGGGAGGGAAGAGTGGTAATGATTATGTCTTGTGGCTTGGATGCCAGCTCAGTTGCAGTAGAATAGAACCCAGGTAGATTCTCAAGGTTTCTAATTTCAGGCCCTGGCCCCTGTACGGCATCTCTGCACCAGCCCGGAACCAGAAGGAACTTGCCAACGTGAAGGGAAACAAGAGTGGCTAGCTTTACCACCTGCTTATTGTAGAACACTAGGGCCTTGAGGAAACATAAACAGTAGCTAGACAGTTGTTACTATGGGCCTTGGGTAAGACTCAGTACTGTATTGGCTTCACGTCTAACCCAGAGTATTCCTAGTGGTGATGGTCATTGGGTGCTTGCTTCACCCCTCCACCAGCTGTAGGCAACTGAGTACAGAGTGAGAGTCTAGGTTTGAAGGAAAGTTAAAAAAAAAAAAAAAAGCAATAGTCTCTGGTAAACTAAAAAAAAAATCTGTAAGAGCCACAGTGCTATTGTGCTTGGGATACCCCTTAAAGCAGATATGACTGCAGTGACTATAGATTTAGATTACAACACCCAAGTCTTTTTGAATGCTTGGAAAGGCTTCCCAAGAAGGATGGTTATAAACAAGCCCAGACTATGAAAACTACAATAAATACCTAACTTTCCTACACTAAGACACCAATAAACATGCACAAGCATCAAGGTGATCTGGGAAAACATGGCTTCACCAAATAAACTAAATAATGCAACAAATATCTATTTTGGAAAAAAAAAGAGGTATGTTACCTTTAAGATATAGAACGCAAAATGGCATTTTCAGAAAACTCAAAGAAATTCAAGATAACACAGAAGAAATTCAGAATCCTATCACATAAATATAACAAAAAATTGAAATAATTTAAAAGAATCAGATAGATTCTTGGGAAAAATGGTCAAATAGGAACAGCTCCAGTCTGGAGCTCCCAGTGAGACCAATGCAGAAGGTGATTGATTTCTCATTTCCAACTGAGGTACCCAGCTCATCTCATTGGGACTGGTTAGACAGTGGGTGCAGCCCACGGAGGGCAAGCAGAAGCAGGGTGGGGTGTCTCCTCACCCGGGAAGCTCAAGGGGTCAGGGAATTCCCTCCCCTAGCCAAGGGAAGTCATGGGTGAGGGATGGTGCTATCTGACCCAGATACTAGGCTTTTCCTACTGCCTTTGCAACCCACAGACCAGGAGATTCCCTCCGATGCCTACACCATCAGGGCCCTGGGTTTCAAGCACAAAACTGGGTGGGCATTTGGGCAGACACCAAGCTAGCTGCAGGAGTTTTTATTCATACCACTGTGGCACCTGGAATGACAGTGAGACCGAACAATTCACTCCCCTGGAAAGGGGGCTGAAGCCAGGGAGCCGAGTGGTCTTGCTCGGCAGATCCCACCCCCATGGAACCCAACAAACTAAGATCCACTGGCTTGAAATTCTCACTGCCAGCACATCAGTCTGAAGTCAACCTGGGATGCTCGACCTGGGTGGGGGAAGGGGTGTCTGCCATTATAGGAGCTTCAGTAGGCAGTGTTCCCCTCATAGTGTAAACAAAGGCACCTGAAAGTTCGGACTGGGCAGAGCCCACAACAGCACCACAAAGCTGCAGTAGCCAGACTGTCTCTCTAGATTCCTCCTCTCTGGGCAGGGCATCTCTGAAAGAAAGGCAACAGCCCCAGTCAGGAGCTTATAGATAAAACTCCCATCTCCCTGGGACAGAGCACCTGGGGGAAGGGGTGGCTGTGGGCACATTTTCAGCAGACTTAAGTGTTCCTGCCTGCTGGCTCTGAAGAGAGCAGCAGATCTCCCAGCACAGCGCTTGAGCTCTGCTAAAGGACAGATTGCCTCTTCCAGTGGGTTCCTAACACCTGTGCCTCCTGATTGGAAGACACTTCCCAGCAGGGGTTGACAGACACCTCATACAGGAGAGCTCTGGCTGGCATCTAGCAAGTGCCCCTCTGGGATGAAGCTTCCAGAGGAAAGAGCAAGCAGCAATCTTTGGTTGCTGGTGATACCCAGGCAAACAGGTCAGGAGTTGACCTCCACCAAGCTCCAGCAGACCTGTAGCAGAGGAGTCTGACTCTTAGAAGGAAAACTAACAAACATAAAGCAATAGCATCAACATCAACAAAAAGGATGGCCACAAAAACCCCATCCAAAGGCCACCAACATCAAAGGCCAAAGGTAGATAAATCCACGAAGATGAGCAAAAAACAGTGCAAAATGGCTGAAAATTCCAAAACCAGAATGCCTCTTCTCCTAAAAAGGATCACAACACCACCTGAGCAAGGGAACAAAACTGGATGGCGAATGAGTTTGACAAATTGACAGAAGTAGGCTTCAGAAGGTGGGTAATAACAAACTCTTCCAAGCTAAAGGAGCATGTTCTAACCCAATGTAAGCAAGCTAAGACTCTTGATAAAAGGATACAGGAAATGCTAACTAGAATAACCAGTTTAGAGAAGAACATAAATGACCTAATGGAGCTGAAAAACACAGCACAAGAACTTCATGAAGCATACACAAGTATCAATAGCTGAATCAATCAAGCAGAAGAAAGGATATCAGAGATTAAAGATCAACTTAGTGAAATAAAGCATGAAGACAAGATTAGAGAAAAAAGCATGAAAAGGAAGAAAGCCTCCTAGAAATATGGAACTATGTGAAAAGACCAAACCTATGTTTGATTGGTGTGCCTGAAAGTGATGGGGAAAATGGAACCTGGTTGGAAAATACACTTAAGGATGTTATCCAGGAGAACTTCCCCAACCTAGCAAGACAGGCTAACATTCAAATTCAGGAAATACAGAGATCATCACAAAGATACTCCTCAAGAAGAGCAACCCCAAGACACATTATCATCAAATTCACCACTGTTGAAATGAAGGAAAAAATGTTAAGGGCACCCAGAGAGAAAGGTTGGGTTACTCACAAAGGGAAGCCCATCAGACTAACAGTGGATCTCTCTGCAGAAACCCTACAAACCAGAAGAGAGTGGGGACCAATATTCAACATTCTTAAAGAAAAGAATTTTCAAACCAGAATTTTATATCCAGCCAAACTAAGCTGCATAAGTGAAGGAGAAATAAAATGCTGTACAGACAAGCAAATGCTGAGAGATTCTGTCACCACCAGGCCCGCCTCACAAAAGCTCCTGAAGGAAGCACAAAATATGGGAAGGAAAAACCGGTACCAGTCACTGCAAAAACATACCACAATGTAAAGACCATCGACACTATAAAGGAACTGCACCAACTAATGGGCAAAATAACAAGCTAGCATCATAATGATAGGATCTGATTCACACATAACAATATTAACCTTAAATGTAAATGGGCTAAATGACCCAATTAAAAGACACAGACTGGCAAATTGGATAAAGAGTAAAGACCCATCAGTGTGCTGTATTCAGGAGACACATCTCACTTGCAAAGACACACATAGGCTCAAAATAAAGGGATGGAGGAAGATTTACCAAGCAAATGGGAAGAAAAAGAAAATCAGAGGTTACAATCCTAATCTTTGTTAAAACATATTTTAAACCAACAAAGATCAAAAAAATACAAAGAAGGGCATTATACAATAGTAAAGGGATCAATGCAAAAAGAAGAGCTAACTATCCTAAATATATATGCACCCAATACAGGAACACCCAGATTCATAAAGCAAGTTCTTAGAGACCTACAAAGAGACTTAGACTCCCACACAATAATAGTGAGAGACTTTAACACCCCACTGTCAATATTAGACAGATCAACAAGAGAGAAAGTTAGTGCAATCAAATTAGAATTCAGGATTAAGAAACTCCCTCAAAAACGCATGACTACATGGAAACTGAACAACTTGCTCCAAAATGACTACTGGGTAAATAACAAAATTAAGGCAGAAATAAATAAATTCTTTGAAACTAATGAGAACAAAGAGGCAATGTACCAGAATCTCTGAGACACAGCTAAAGCAGTGTTAAGAGGGAAATTTACAGCACTAAATGCCCACACGAGAAAGCAGAAGAGATCTAAAATTGACACCCTAACATCACAATTAAAAGAACAATAGAAGCAAGAGCAAACAAATTCAAAAGCTAGCAGAAGAAAAGAAATAACTAAGATCAGAGCAGAACTGAAGAAGATAGAGACACGAAAATCCCTTCAAAAAATCAATGAATCCAGGACCTGTTTTTTAAAAAAGATCAACAAAACAAGTAGACCACTAGCCAGACTAATAAAGAAGAAAATAGAGAAGAATCAAATAGACACAATAAAATATGATAAATGGGGTATCACCACTGATCCCACAGAAATACAAACTACCATCAGAGAATACTATAAACACCTCTATGCAAATAAATTAGAAAATCTAGAAGAAATTGATAAGTTTCTGGACACATTCACTCTCACAAGGCTAAATCAGCAAGAAGTTGAATTCCTCAATAGACCAACAACAAGATCTGAAATTGAGACAGTAATTAATAGCCTACTAATGAAAAAAACCCAGGACCAGAGAGATTCACAGCCACATTCTACCAGAGGTACAAAGAGGAGCTGGTACCATTCCTTCTAAAACACTTCCAAACAATAGAAAAAGAGGGACTCCTCCCTAACTCATTTTATGAGGCCAGCATCATCCTGATACCAAAACGTGGCAGAGACACAACAAAAAAAAGAAAATTTCAGGCCAATATTTCTGATGAACATCGATGCAAAAATCCTCGACAATATATTGGCAAACCGAATCCAGCAGCACATTAAAAAACTTATCCACCACGATCAAGTTGGATTCATCCCTGGGATGCAAGGCTGTTTCAACATACACAAATCAATAAATGTAATTCATCACATAAACAGAAACAAAGACAAAAACCACTTGATTATCTCAATAGATACAGAAAAGGCCTTTGATAAAATTCAATACTGCTTTGTGCTAAAAACACTCAATAAAAAATATATTGATTGAGCATATCTCAAAATAGTAAGAGCTATTTATGACAAACCCCCAGCCAATATCACACTGAATGGGCAAAAGCTGGAAGCATTCCCTTTCAAAGCCAGCACAAGACAACGATGCCCTCTGTCACCACTTCTATTCAACATGGTATTGGAAGTTCTGACCAGGGCAATCAGGCAAGAGAAAGAAATAAAGGACATTCAGATAGGAAGAGAGGAAGTCAAATTGTCTCTGTTTGCAGATGACATAATTGTATATTTAGAAAATCCCATCGTCTCAGCCCAAAAACTCCTTTAGCTGATAAGCAACTTCAGCAAAGGCTCAGGATACAAAATCAATGTGCAAAAATCACAAGCATTCCTATACGCCAATAATAAAGAAATAGAGAGCCAAATCATGAGTGAACTCCCATTCACAATTGCTACAAAGAGAATAAAATACCTAGGAATACAACTTATAAGGGATGTGAAAGACCTCTTCAAAGAGAACCACAAACTACTGCTTAAGGAAATAAGAGAGGACAGAAACGAATGGAAAAACATTCCATGCTCATGGATAGGAAGAATCAATATTGTGAAAATGGCCATACTGCCCAAAGTAATATAGATTCAATGCTACTCCCATGAAGCTTCCCTTTACTTACTTCACAGAATGAAAACAAAACTTTAAATTTCATATGGAACCAAAAAAGAGTCCTCATAGCCAAGACAATCCTAAGCAAAAAGAACAAAGCTGGAGGCATCATGCTGCCCGACTTCAAACTATACTACAAGGCTAGAGTAATGAAAACATCATGGTACTGGTACCAAAACAGATATATAGACCAAAGGAACAGAACAGAGGCCTCAGAAATAACACCACACATCTACAACCATCTGATCTTTGACAAACTTGACAAAAACAAGAAATGGGGAAAGGATTCCCTATTTAATAAATGGTGTTGGGAAAACTGGCTAGCTATATGGAGAAAACTGAAACTGGACCCCTTCCTTACACCTTATACAAAAATTAACTCAAGATGGATTAAAGACTTTAACATAAAACCCAAAACCATAAAAACCCTAGAAGAAATCCTAGGCAATGCCATTCAGGACATAGGCATGGGCAAAGACTTCATGACTAAAACACCAAAAGCAATAGCAACAAAACCCAAAATTGACAAATGGCATCTAATTAACCTAAAGAGCTTCTGCACAGCAAATGAAACTACCATCAGAGTGAATAGGTAGCCTACAGAATGGGAGAAAATTTTTGCAATCTATCCACCTGACAAAATACTAATATCCAGAATCTACAAGCAACTTAAACAAACTTATAAGAAAAAAAAACATCAAAAAGTGGGCAAAAGGTATGAACAGACACTTTTCAAAAGAAGACATTTATGCAGCCAGCAAACATAAAAAGAGCTCATCATCACTGGTCATTAGAGAAATGCAAATCAAAACCACAATGAGATACCACCTCACACCAGTAAAAATCTTACATGCCATGAGAAAAATGACATTTTTAAAGTGCTGAAGAAAATAAAGAAATTAACCTAGCATATTATATCCAGTTAAGTTCCTTCAAGCATAAGGAGAAATAAAGATTTTCCCAGAAAAACAAAAGCAGAGGAATTTTATCAACACCAGATCTGTCCTACAAGAAATGCTAAAAAAAGTTCTTCAATTAAAAATAAAAAATCAATAGTGAGCAATAAGAAATTATTTGATGGTACAAAACTCACAGGTAAGAATAAATACTTTAAAAAATAAAACACTGATGGCCAGCCTTGGTGGCTCATGCCTGTAATCCCAGCTCTTTGAGAGACCCAAGTGGGCAGATGATCTGAGGTCAGGAGTTTGAGACCAGCCTGGCCAACATGGTGAAACCTCATCTCTACTAAAAATACAAAAGTTAACTGGGCTTGGTAGTGGGTTCTGATAATCTCAGCTACTCAGGAGGCTGAGGCAGGGAATTGCTTGAACCTGGGAGGTGGAAGTTGCAGTGAGCTGAGATTGCACCATTGCACTCCAGCCTGAGCGACAAGTGCAAAACTCAATCTCAAAAACAATCAAACAAATAAAACAAAACAAAACAAAAACGCTAATTACTATAACACTGCAATTGTGGTGTGTAAACTACTCATATCTTGAGTAGAAAGACTAAAATGTAAACCAATAAAAATGATAGCTACAACAAATTTTCAGGACATAGACAGTACACTAAGATATAAACAGAAACAACAAGCCGGGCGAGGTGGCTCACGCCTGTAATCCCAGCACTTTGGGAGGCCGAGGTGGGCGAATGACCTGAAGTTGGGAGTTCAAGACCACCCTGACCAACATGGAGAAACCCCATCTCTACTAAAAATACAAAATTAGCCGGGTGTGGTGGCACATGCCTGTAATCCCAGCTGCTTGGGAGGCTGAGGCAGGAGAATTGCTTGAACCCAGGAGGCAGAGGTTGTGGTGAGCCAGAGATCGCTCCATTGCACTCAAGCCTGGGCAACAAGAGTGAAACTCCATCTCAACAACAACAACAACAAAAAAAAAAAAAAAAACAAAGAAAAGAAAGAAACAACAAAAAGATAAGAAAGAGGGGCATGAAGTTAAATTGTACATTATTTATTAGTTTTCTAACTTGCTTTTTATGCAATATGATTTAAGTTGTCATCAGTTTAAAATAATAGGTTATAATATAAAAAGATAAGAAACAGGAAATGGGGGCATGAAGTTAAATTGTACATTATTTATTAGTTTTCTCCTTGCTTTTTATGCAATATGATTTAAGTTGTCATCAGTTTAAAATAATATGGTATAATGTAACATTTGCAAGCCTTGTGGAAACCTCAAATCAAAAAACATACAACAAGTATACAAAAAGTAAAATGCAAGAAATTAAAACACTGTATTAGTTTTAATTGACTCAGAGTGCCACATGGCTGGGGAGGCCTCAGGAAACTATCAATTATGTTAGAAGGCCCCTCTTCACAGGGCAGCAGGAGAGAGAATAAATACAAGCAGGAGAAATGCCAGATGCTTATAAAACCATCAGATCTCATGAAATTCACTCATTATCACGAGAACAGCATGGGAGAACCTCCCCCATGATTCAATTACCTCCACCTCTTCACACTCTTGACACATGGTGATTATGGGGATTACAATTCAAGGTGAGGCTTGTGTGGGGACACAGAGCCAAACCATGTTCCATACCGTCATAGAAAATCACCTTCACTTAAAGAAAGACAGGAAGGAAAGAAAAGAGGAAGGAAAGATCACAAAACAACCAGAAAACAACACATAAAATGCCAGGAGCATGCTATTACATATCAATCATAACAAAGAATATAAATGGACTCAACACTCTAATCAAGTAGTATAGAGTGGCTTAATGGATAATGAAATAAGGCTCACACTCTGTTGCCTACAAGAAACATACTTCACCTATAGGGACACACATAGACTAAAAATAAAAAAAAATAGAAAAAGATATTCCAGGCAAATGAAAACCAAAAAAAATTAGAAGTAGCTATACTTACATTAGACAAAATATATTTTAAGGCAAAAACAATAAAAATGATAAAGGAGGTCATTATATAATTATAAAGAGATCAAATCAGCAAGAGGTTAATACTTTTAAACATATATTCACATAACACTGGAGCACCCAGATACATAACGTGAACATTATTAGAGGTAAAGAGATAGACTCCAGTACAATAATAGCTGGGGACTTCAGCACCCTACTTTTCATGTTGTACAGATCATCCAGGCAGGAAAAAAAAATTAGACTTAATTTGCATTATAGACCAAATGGACCTAATAAATATTTACAGACCATTTCATCCAACAACTGCAAAATACATAGTCTTCTTTAAAGCACATGGATCATTCTCAAGAATAGACCATGCATTATCCATAAAACAAGTCTTAAAAATTGAGGAATAATGAAACTATATTAAGCATCTTCTCTGAAGAAAATTGAATAAAACTATAGATCAATAAGAATAATAATTTTGGAAATTTTGTGAACACATGGAAATTATAAAATATGCTGCTGAATAACCAGTGTATCAATAAAGAAATTAGGAAGAAAATTTAAAAATGTCTTCAAGCAAATGAAAACAGAAACACAACATACCAAAACCTGTCGGATACACTAAAGAGGACATTAAAAGGACAGGTTATCACTATAAGTGCCTACATGAAAAATTTAAAAACTACAAATAAACAATCTAATCATGTACCTTAAAGAATTAGAAAAGAAGAGCAATCCAAACCCAACATTATTAGAAGAAAATAAGGAGAAATAAATGAAATTGAAATAAAGAAAAAAATACAAAGACTAACAAAATAAAAAGTAAGTTTTTTGATAAGATAAACAAAATCAACAAACCTTTAGCCAGACTAAGTTAAAAAAAAAAGAAGACATAAATTCAGAGATAAAAAATTAGACATTAGACATTACATCTGATATTGCAGACATTCAAATGATTATTAGGGGCTACTATGAGCAACTATATGCCAGTAAATTGTCAAAACTAACAAAAAATTGATAAATATCTAGATACATACAACCTACCAAATTTGAACCATGGATATATTCAAAATCTTAATAGATCAAAAATACATAATGAGATTGAAGCCACAGAAAAAATAAAATAAAATAGAAACCTCTCCCAGCAAAGAAAATCCTGGAACCCAATGTTTTCACTGCTGAATTATACCAAAACATTTAAAGAAGAGGTTATATCACTTGCACCCAAGCTAGTAAAATAATAACAAAGGAGGGAATACTTCTAAACTCATTCTATGAAGTAAATACTACCCTGATGCCAAAATCAGACAAAGAAACATAAAAAAATCTACCTGTCAATATCCCTCTTGAACATTGATGCAAAATGGTTACCAAAATACTAGCCAATTAAATTGAACAACATACTGAAAGATCATTTTTTCATGATCTTCATGATTATTCATGATAAGTGGGATTTATCCCTGGGAGGCAAGCATGGTTCAACATATGCAAAACAGTCTATGTGATAATTCATATCAACAGAATGAAGGGAAAAAAACTATATGATCACTTCAATTGATGCTGGAAAACCACTAGATAACATTCAACGTACTTTCACGATAAAAATCCACAAAAATCTGGGTATAGAAGGTCCATAACGTCACACAGTAAAACCCATGTATGACAGAACCACAGCTGGTATAATACTGAAAGCCTTTCCTCTAAGAACTGGAATGTGAAAAGGATGTCCACTTTCACCACCATTATTCAACATAGTAGTGGAAGTTATAGCTACAGTAATCAGACAAGAGAAAGAAAGAGCATACAAATTGGAAAGGAAGAAGCAAGTTATCCTTGTTTGCAGACAATATGATCTTGTATTTGGAAAAACCTAAAGACTTCAGCATAAAAAAATGTATATATATATATATGTATATATATATGTGTATATATATATGTGTATATATATGTGTATATATGTGTGTATATATGTGTATATATATGTGTATATATATGTGTATATATATGTGTGTATATATATGTATATATGTGTGTGTATATATATGTATATGTATGTGTGTGTATATATATATATATGAAGTGATAAATTCCACAATGTTGATGGAAACAAAATTAACATGTGAAAATCAGGAGCATTTCTATATGCCAAAAGCAAACAATCTGAAAAAGAAATCAAGAAAGTAATTCCATTTAAAATAGCTACAAATAAAATAAAATACCTAGGCATTAACTTACCAAAGAAGTGAAAAATCTCTACAATGAATATTATAAAGCACTTTCAAAAAAATTGAAGAGAATACCAAAAAAAATGGAAAGGTATTCCACATTCACCGATTGGAAGAATCAATATTGTTAAAATGTCTGTACTACCCAAAACATTCTACAGATTCAATGCAATTTTTACCAAATTACCATGGCATTCTTCACAGAAACTATTGTAAAATTAATATGGAATCACAAAAGACCCAGAGTAGCTGAAGCTATCCTGAGCAAAAAGAACAAAACTGGAGGAATCACATTACCTGACTTCAAATTATAATGCAGAGCTATAGTAGGCAAAATAGCATGGTGGTGGCATAAAAACAGACACATGAATCAATGGAACAGAGCAGAGAACCCAGTAATAAAGTTATACATCTACATTCAACTCATTTTCAACAAAAATGCCAAGAATGTACATTGGGGAAAGGATAGTCTCTTCAAAATATTGTGCTGGGAAAACTGAATATTCATAGGTGGAAAACTGAATATTCATAGGCAGAAAAATGACACTAAATTCCTGTATCTCACCATATACAAATATTAAATCAAAATGATTTAAAGACTTAAATCTAAGACCTCAAACTACGAAACTACTGAAAAAAAATTGGGAAACTCTTTAAGAGATTAAATTGAACAATAATTTCTTGAAAAAAACACCCACAAGCACAGGCAACCAAAGCAAAAATGTACAAATGGAAGCACATTAAGTTCAAAAGCACAGCAAAGGACAAAGTGAACAAAGTGTAGAGACAACCCACAGAATGGGAGAAAATATCTTCAAACTATCTTCCTGGCAAGGAATTAAAAACCAAAAAATATAAGGAGCTAACAAAACTCTAGGAGTAAGTATAATAATCTGTTTTAAAAGTGGTAAAAATATCTGAGTAAACATTTCTCAACAGAAGACATACAAATGGCAAACAGGCATGTAAATCTGCTCAGCATTATTGATCATAAGAGAAATGCAAGTCCAAAACTACAAAGAGGTATCATCTCACTCCAGCTAAAATGGCTTGTATGCAAAAGACAGGCAATAACAAATGCTGACAAGGATGTGGAGAAAATGGAATGCTTGTAAACTCTGGGGAATGTAAATTAGTATAACCAATACAGAGAACAATTTGGAGATTCCTCAACAAACTAAAAATAGAGCTACCATGTGATCCAGCAATCTCACTGCTTGGTATATACCCAAAATAAATGAATTCAGTATATCGAAGAAATATCTGCACTCCTACATTTTTTACAGCACTGTTTACAGTAGCCAAGACTTCCAATCAACCTAAGAGTCCATCAACAGATGAATGGATAAAGAAAATGTGGAACATATATACAAAGGAGTGCTATTCAGCCATTAAAAAAGAATTAGATCCTGTCATTTGCAACAACATGAATGGAACTGGAAGTCATTATGTTATGTGAAATAAGTCAGGCACAGAAAGACAAACTTGGCATATCCTCACTTATTTGTTGTAGGAGCTAAAATTAAAACAATTGAATTCATGTAGATAGAGAGCAAAATGATGGGTATTAGAGGCTGGTAATGACTTGTCAACAATAATTTATTGTGCATTTTAAAATAACTAAAGGAGTATCATGGGATTGTTTGTAAAACACAGAAAAGATAAATACTTGAGGTGACTGATACCACATTTACTCCCATGTGATTGTTATGCATTGCATGCCTGTATCAAAATATCTCATATACCCCATAAACATATACATCTACTATGTACTCACAAAACTTAAACATTAAAAATTTTAAAATAAAGAAAAAAAGTAGACAAAGTGAAAACTAGTTATAATAAAGTCAGAAAATACCTTTCTGAACATTTTGCTTCTAAGAGTAAAAGTAGATACAAGTTGTTTCATTTATCTACTTCAATTCCATGATAGAAGATTTCTCTAGTTATGAATCTAAAAGTAAGATTGATAACCTGTTCTTAGAAACTGCATTACAACAAAACAAAACAATCAAAAGCAAAAAGCTTCTATTTAGATATATTAATTTATATGCAATTGTTGACTAGGCAAAATTTTAAATTGAAAAATTAACATAAAAACGTACAATTACATTCTGAGTTATAGTATGGTGGTTAAGAACTTAGGCTTTGTAGTTAGGCTATAGGAATTTCAATTTTGACTTCACAAGTCATTAGCTGCATAACCTTAGGTAAGTTACTTAACTACTATAACCTCATTTCACTCAGCTAAATTGAGGAAAATCGCTTACCTCATAAGGTTGGTAGCATTAAATGAGTCAATTTATGTAAATCACTTGGAATAATGCCTGGTTCATAGTAAGCACTAACGAATCATCATGTCATTGTTTTTGTGGTGATCTAAAACTGTTCATTAATCTCTGTATACAAAAAAAAACCCCACAAATAGTAAGTATACATCTCAATATTTTTTAATAAAGTAAACATCCACAGATACCCAGAACCTGGGTCAATAGAGTAAACATTACAGCACTCAAGTCCACCTTAATGCTTCCAAAGCTAACAATTTTCTTGACTGCTAATGATATGGGAGTGCTGGGAAGGGAAGAACATGGTCCCTTTAAATGATACAGAAACGGGAAGGGAAGTGCTGGGTAGAGAAAGGCGGGTCCCCGGATAGGGCTCCACCCCTTCAGACCTAGGTGAGGACAAGCATTTCCTGCCCAAATGTTGCATTTCCCAAGACCACCGTGGCCTCCCATACCTCCATCCTGGGTCTATAAAAACCCAAGACCCTAGCGGGCAGACACACAGGCAGCCAGACGTTGAGAGATGCACATTGGCCAAAGAGCACGTCGGCAGAAGAAGACACAAGAGTCTGGTTGTTCTGTGGACTTGGAGAGGAGTACGCTGGCAGAAGACCACACGAAGACCACACTGACAGGCACTGGCACGACTGGCGGGAGGATGTGGAGTTTGGCTGGGGCAGTTGGAGAAGTGCGGCCAGACTCCAGGGGAAAACCATCTCCCTTCTGGCTCCCTCATTGGGCAGAGAGCTGCAGAAATCCCTCTGTCCTTTTGATAAAGAAAGGGGTCCAATTGAGCTGATTAACACAAACCGCCTATAGACAGCAAACTAATAGAGCACACTGTAACACACACCCACACTGCCTTGGGGTCGAAGCCCCACAACTTGCCCCGCTGTATGCTCCGCTAGAGGTTTGAGCAGCGGGGGCACTGTAGAAGGGAGCCACACCCCCATCGCACACCCTGCGAGGGGAACAAGGGAACCTTTCGGGTTTTACCTACAGTATAGATTAGTTTTTTCTCTATTGAAAACTTTTGCAAATAAATTATACAATATATTTGATCTGCTCCAACAATTACGACCAATAATGTTAAGCATCTTTACATATATTCATTAGCCATGTAAACATCCTCTTTTGAGAATTAACTATTCCAGAGTTTTACTCATTTATCACTGAGTTGTCTATCTTTTACTAATGGATTTGTGGAAGTTCTTTATGTATTATGAATGAGTCCTTTTACAGATATGTTTCTTGAAAATATTTCCCACACTAGAACTTGTTTTTATACTCTCTTAATGTCCAATGGTAAACATATATCTTTAATTTTAATGAAGTCTAGTTTCAATATGTAGATGCATATATTTTTCTTTACATTTAGTGTTTTTTGTGTTCCATTTTTAAAATATTTTCACATTCTAAATTCATAAAGGTATAAATGTTTTCTCCTGGATATTCTTCCTTTTATTCCTCACATTGTGACCTATAATCACTTTGTGCATAATGTCATATAGAAATCAGGATCCATTATTTGCATATTAATATCCAAGTGACTCAATAATATTAATTGGAGATTATATTTTTTCTTCATTGAACTTCAGGGTCATGCATGTCATAAATAAATATTTTTAAAATATCTAAGGTTTCTATTCCATTTTATTGGTCTAATTGCACATCCATATTCTTAATTATTGTAACTTTATATTATATCCTGATAAATGATATGTATATTATATATACATATACTAATCACCTGAATGTGAGATGTCCCTGTGTAAGAAGATATAAACATAGATAGCAAAGAAGTTGAAAAAGATGATCAATACAATTTATGGGCATGTATAACAATACCATAAAATTGCTTAGCATTGTTCTCAGAAAGTGCTTTCCTCTAATAGTCCTTTCTTTTTAACAGTTTTATTATTGCTTACAAAAGGCCCTCATTGTAATTATGTTTTGCTTTGTAATTTAAAGATTAAAATTAAAGCAATTCAGCGTAAAAATTATGTATTTGCACTTAAATTTTAACATTCTGTCTCAGTCAGAAGCTTATTTTTTATTTAGAATATCTTGAAACATTAATCACTCCAAGGCCTATATCTACAAGGTAAATAAAAAGAGTAGATAAATTATGCTGTTTCATTTTAATACAAACTATACAAGAGATATCTTATGTACTACATAAATATTTATTCCGTAATTGAAGGTCCATATTTTTCAAATTCTATTTTGATAAGGGATAATTATGCCAGAGTTAATTCCCAGTACTTTTTCTTTCTGGATGGTACATAAGATAATAGTAAATCTGAAAATGATTGGAAATTTAGATTCCATGAAATATGATAATTAATATTTAGTTTTGCTTCTAAGCTTTTTATTTTCTTTCCTTTTCATACCGCCCTTATTTTTCTCATTTTTATCTTATCTTTTCACACATTTCTCATATTTTCCATCTGTTTTTTACAAAATGCATCAGAAAATTAATTGCAGCAATACTTATAGGAGAAGTATTTGAATCAAACCAAATATCCATCAACAGGCGTATGGAAAAATATGCTACTCAATGTTCATATTAAGTAAAATTCTACAACTATTTATTTTGTTAGAGTGAAAAATATATATTGATAGAGAAATATTAGCATATTTATAGGCAAAAGGAAGTGACCAAAAATATTTCTTTTATAATCTACGTTTGGGAAAAATAGGCACATTTATGTTTAGAAAAACACAAAAAATGTTGTACACCAAATAGTTAAATTTGCTTACTTCAGAGCTGCAAAATTGGAGAGAAAAATATGAATCCATTAATTTTCCCTTTTTAATATGTAATGTGTATTAATTTCAATGACATTTTATCAAGAAGAATGGCTTCTGTTTAAATTATGTAATTCATATTGTCAAAAATAAAGTCAGATTGTAGTCCTCAACAATATTTCCAAAGTGTACTTCCATGGCCATTGGAAGCCAATGGAATTAAAGCAAATAAAATTGAAGTCACTAATACATTAAAAAATCTGTCTACAATTATTTCATTATACGTATGTTCTTTGGAACAGATGCACAATTATTGCATTGAAATTTAATCTGCAAATTTGCTCTAAAATAATGAAAAGGTAACAGAGAAACTGTTATAAAGTAGAGCATAAACCTCAAATAAAGACATATGGATGCTATGAAAACTTTCTCCCTCCTTTTCAAAATATCAGGTTAATATTGAGTACTACATGATATCACCCATCAAATTATTTCACCGTAACCTATCCTGTTAAAATGTTTTAAATTTTATAATTTACAGTTGTTCTATAAATTCTTTTCTAGAGCTCAAAATAGGAAGAAATATGAAATTGAAGTTATGAAGTCAAACAAATTCTGAGTATCAGCAAGAAATATTTTGTGTTTTGCATTTGTAACTGTGTGCTCAAAAACAAACAGAGGAACAAAAAGGCGCATGCTATTTGCTAGGGAAAATGTTAGAATATTTTTTCAGTTATCCAGCCAAGTGCTCTTTATCATTCTTAAATTGTCACTAGTTCTCTGAAACAGTTTTTTCTTCTCTGAATAAGGGCCAATTTTTAAGTCCAGATTCCTGAAGAAAATTAAAACCTTGTCAAAAATCTGATACATTTCTTTTTTCCACTTCGTCTGTATAATCCACATTGATATACCAAAATTTTGTAAATTCTTCACCTGTAGATAATTAAATGCTCTTAGTATTAAAGAAAAATTTTTTTTCAGGGCAACTAACAAATAAATACTTCTTTTTATTCCAGGTGTTCTGTAACCTGATGGTTTTCTGAAAACTAGAGAGCCCTACACCTATGTCTTTTACAAAAATTTATCTCAACCAGCTGGGTGGCTCACACCTGTAATCCCAGCCCTTTGGGAGCTCGAGGTGGGCGGATCACCTGAGGTCAGGAGTTGGAGACCAGCCTGGCTAACATGGTGAAACCCGTCTCTACTGAAAATACAAAAATTAGTTGGGTGTGGTGGCACACGCCTGTAATCCCAGCTACTCAGGAAGCTGAGGCGGGAGAATCTCTTGAATCCAGGAGGCAGAGGTTGCAGTGAGCCCATATCACGCCACTGCACTCCAGCCTGAGCTACAGAGAGAGACTGCGTCTCAAAAAAAAAAAAAAAAAAAAAAAAAAAAAAAATTCTGAAGATTCTTTAAAATAAATGGCTTCAGACATGAACCACTGTTTCTATGTGAGTCCACTATCAAAAGCTGTGCTTCACTCGAAATATCTCAGTGTTAGAGGTTGTATATCTCATTAATTTTGCCTTATCATTGTGTAATTCACAATTCTAGGGATAACTCCAAACTTTCTGAATCAGTTTCCAGATAAATGAACCATTACTGGATCAGAGGTTTCACTTTTTGTTTGTTTTTTCTTTTTTTTTTTTTTAGAAGTTGATGCCTTTATGTGATGAAAGCTGTGCTTTCTTCTTCAAAAGGGATGTCGTATATTAAAAGATATCAAACATAGCTCTACAAAGTATTATCTCAAAACACTTGGATCTACAATACTGAATATTAAAGGACAGCTCACTTTACCTGCCACCCACTTTCTTGCTGTCTGGAATGTTGACAGTAGGCCAAACAGACACAAGCATCATTTCTTGCTGGTTTTCTGCATCCCCTCCTATCTGCCGGCACACCCATTACTAACTTGCCAATTCAGCTTCTTGGCACTTGTGACAGTATCTGTAGCAACCAGCATGTACATATTCTTTGATTTTTTACAATGACCATGCTTTTTATTTTACGTTACAAAAATGTTATGGTGCCAAAGCTGCAGAGGCATTTTAAAACACGTATTTATTATTACTTCCAACCACAAAACATCTGAATCATGCTATATTTTTAACTTAAATTTTGTATGTGGTATAAGGGTCCAATTTCATAATCTTGCATGAAGATATCAAATTTTTCCAAGACCATTTATTAAAGAGACTATTCTTTCTTCATTGTCTATTCATTCACCCTTGTCAAAGATCAGCTGACTGTGAATGTGTAGATTTTTTTCTGAGATCTCTATTCTTTTCCATGTGTCTATGTCTGTTGTTGTGCCAGTACTCAACTGTTTTGACAAATGTACATTTTTAATATGTTTTGAAATTAGCAAGTGTGATGCCTCTCTCTGTATTCTTGTTCAAGATTACTTTGGCTATTTGGGGGCCTTTCTGATTCCATGTGAATTTTAAGATTATTTTTTATATATCTAAAAAGAATACCACTGGGACTTTGATAGGGATTAAAGTAAATCTGTGATACCTTTGAGTGGTATGGACATTTTAACAATATTAGTTATTCAAATCAATAAACATGGAGCATCTTTGCATTTACCTGTGGTTTCTTTAATTTTTTACATAATTCTTTTATTATTTTCAGTGTAAAAACCTTTCACTTCTTTAAGTTTATTCCTAAGTATATTTTTTGCTATTTTAAATGGTATTGTTTTGTTAATTTTTTCAGATAGTTCATTACTACTGCATAGAAACCACTGATTTTTGTATTTTGATGACATCTTTGCATGAATTAAAGACTTACACTTAAGAGGTGAAACCATAAAACGACTAGAGGAAAACATAAGAAGAAAGATTCTTGACATTGATCTTGACAATAATTGAACATAACATCAAATGCAGAGGCAACAAAAGCAAAAAAAAAAATAGACCAGTGATACTACATCAAAATAAAAAACTTTGGCACAGCAAAGGAAACAATCAAGAAAGTGAAAAGACAACGTATAAAATAGAATAAAATATGTGCGAACCATATATTTGATAAGGGAATAATATCCAAAATATATAAGGAACTCATAAACTCAATACCAAAAAAAACCCTATTAAAAATGGATAAATGACCTGAACAGACATTTCTTGAAAGAAGACATACGAATGGCCAATAAGTATAAAAAAAGGTGTTCAACATCACTAATTCTCAGAAAACTGCAAATCAAAACCACAATGAGATATTACCTCATGCCTGTTAGAATGGCTACTATCAAGAAACAAAATATAGAAAGTGATGGTCAAGGTGTGAAGAAAAGGGAACTTTTCTATGCTGTTGTTGGCAAAGTTGGTGCAGCTGTTATGGAAAACAGTATGGAGGCTCCTTAAAAAGTAAAAAATACAACTACCTACCATATGATCTAGCAATCTCACTTATGTGTATATATCCAAAATGATTGAAACCAGGATCTGGAAGAGACATTAACACTCTCACATTCATTGCAGCTTTATTCACAATAGCTGAGATATGTAAACAATCTAACCGTCCATCAATGGATGAATTGATTTTTTTAAATGTGCTATATATACAACATTGGTCAATGATGTAATGGCATGTATTAGCTGAATCCAAAGTTGAAGTGAATTCTAAAATTACACCAAGACCTTGGGGGAAAAAAAGAAAAGAAATGTAAAAAAAAGAAAACAAAAGTGCTGTATCAACGACATAAACCTGTTGGCCCGGCACAGTGGCTCAAGCCTGAAATCTCAACACTTGGGAGGCCAAGGCGGTTGGATCACCTGAGGTCAGGAGTTCTAGACCAGCCTGACCAATACGGTGAAACCCTGTCTTTACTAGAACTACAAAAATTAGCCGGGCTTGGTGGTGTGCACCTGTAATCCCAGCTACTCGGGAGGCTGAGACAGGAGAATCGCTTGAACCCAGGAGGCGGAGGTTGCGGTGAGCTGAGATCATGCCACTACACTCCAGCCTGGGTGACAGAGCAACACTCTGTCTCAAAAATAAAATAATAAAACAAAATAAAATAAAATAAAATAAAATAAAATAAAATAAAATAAAATAAACCTGTAAGACATTATGCTAAATAAAATAAACCGAGCACAGAAATAAAAATAATGCATCATCTCTCTTATGTGTGAAATATGAAATAATCAAACTCATAAAAACAGATAGTAGAATGATGGTATCAGAGGCTTGGCGGAGAGGGAAATGGGAAGACTTTGGTCAAAGAGTACACATTGTCAGTTATGCAAGATGAATAATTTCTGGAGAGCTAAGGTATAGCATAAGCACACTCACCATAGTTAACAACATTGCTGGTATATTTAAAAGTTTTTAAGAGGGTAAACCTTAAGAGTTCTTGCCACACACACACACACGCACACACATGAAAAAAATAGAAAAGGAAATGGTAACTATGTGAGGTGATTGATATGTTAATTAATTTGATTGAAGTGATTATTTCACAATATATGCATATATCAAAATATCAAGTTGTTCATGTTAAATATATACAATTTTTGTTAGTCAATTATATCTTAAAGCTGAAAACAATTTAAAAGTTTTAAGTAAGCAAAAAAGTTTTGATACCTTTCAAAATCCTCACGTCCAATTACTATCACATAGGGAATTAGACATCAACATATACATTTCTGGGAATACAAATATTCAGTCCATATCATTCCACCACTTACCTCTTAAAATTCATGTCTTTCTCATAGGCAAAAGAATTGCATTCTATCCCGACTGCTCCAAGAGTCCTAACTCCTTCCACCATCAACTTTAACATCTGTAGTTCAAAGTTTCATGTAAATATTATCTAGAACAGATATGGGTGAAACTCAAGATACAATCCTGAAGCAAAATTTCTCTCCAGATGTGAATCTATGAAACCAAAAAAGTTATATGCTTTCAAATGCAGTGATGGGATGGGCACGGAATAGACATTCCCATTTTGTAAAAAAGATTAGGGAAGAAGCAAGGGATAACAGGTTCTACACAAATCTAAAACCTATAACAGCAAACAATATGAGTTCCTAGAACTCAATGATAATCCTCTTTGGCTCTACGTTCTGCCTTCCAGACTCACTGGGGTGGTGATTCTGCCTACAGGACTCACTGAGGTTGGATTATGCCCCCACAAATATGAGTAGCCCTACCCTCATGCCTGTGCTATTAGTAGTCCCACTCTTTGAAACCAAGGTGGAGGTAATCCTGCTCCCCAGGTTCAACACTCTGGATCTGTGGCTGGAGTGGCAGCCTTAATACAGAGATCATCTTTGGCATACTTCTCTTGTCCTGAAGAATAGCACACATTTTACAGCCAAATAGCTCTATAATCTGGTCCTATAGTATCTAAAAAGTCTGATGGCCTTCTTTCATCCTATCATGTCTTCCTTCAGTTCAAATTAGCAGTGTTTCTGCTGGGGTGGCTGATTAAGACTGTGCTTCACACCCATACTGATCCTTTTATCAAACAGTTGTTGGGCAATTTGCAATATGAATAGGCTGCAATATGGATAGGTTGCATATGTATAGGCTGAGAAATCTCTAAGTATTTTTCTGCTCATTTTTGTTTAACAACTCCGTCTTCAATATGTTTCTTTCTTCTTACATTTTATTATAATCAGTCAGGAGTAACCAAGCTGTTCCTTCAATACTTAGCTTAGAAATCTCAGCTAAATATCTATCTTTATTTCTTGCAAGTTCTATATTCCAGAAAGCACTAGAACATGAATACAATTCAGCCAAGTTCTTTGCCACTTTATAACAAGGATTACCTTTTCTCCCTTGTCTAATAACCTTTCTTATTCCCATCTAAGACTTCATTACATTGACCTTCACCATTCATATTTCTACCAACATTCTATACATGATTGTTTGTGTTCTTTATGAAAATGGGAGCTTCTTCTCCAGGTCTCTATGTCCTGTCTAACACCCACCAGAATTGCTTTGAATAGTTCATTCAGGGAAATATTGGTTTTATTTAGCATGTATATCAGTACTCTTTCAGCCTTTACTTATTATCCAGTTCCAAAGTAACTTCCACATTTCTCCCATCCAGAGCATTTATTTTAGAATTCAGTTCAGTATAGAAAAATGAAGATGATGCAACCCATTATTTTTGAGTTTATAAATGTATGGGATAAAATGTCTCACCCATTCAACATAACTAATTGTGAAGTTAAAAATCTAATTTGTTATTTAAACACTAATGAACAGACATTACAGAACCAAAGACATCTCCTTAGCTAACAGCCTGTACTAAGAGTACTTTTCTTAGTTTTGGTTTCAGCTGCAATAATACAAAATTTTTAAAACTATCTCCAGTCATTTTGTCACTTAACATCATGACTCCAAAAATAATAAAAAGCAAAAATATCCAGGAATCAGCATACTAATAAATCTCATAGGTATAAAAATATTATTCTTTTCAAAGCTAATGACTAATACTATTCAAATAAGTATGGTTTTTAAAACAGAAGTTTGCCTTTCTGAAGCCATTTAATGGATATAACACTACAAAAAAATACATCCAAGTCAACAGGACATTTTTCAGATTTTAAACTTTATTAATATCAGTACACAATCCTGATTTCCCATTTTTAATTTTTTTCAACTTTTATTTTAGGTTCAGGGGTAAATATGTAGGTTTAATAGGTAAATTGTGTTTCACAGATGTTTGGTGTACAAATTATTTTGTCACCCAAGTAATAAGCACAGTACTTTATACGCAGTTTTTCCATCCTCACCCTCCTCCCAGCTTCCACCTTCATGTAGGTTCCAGTCTAGGTTGTTCCCTTCTTTATATCCTAATGTACTCAAAGTTTAGCTCCCAGTTATAAGTGAAAACATTTGGAATTTGGTTTTCTGTTCCAGTGTTAGTTTGCTTAGGATACTGGCCTGCTGCCTTTTATGTCCAAAACGGTATTTCCCAGGTTGCAGCTCCATCCATGTTGATGCAAAGGACATGATCTCATTCTTTTTTATGGCTGCATCGAATTCCATGGTATGTATGTATGTATGCATGTGTATATGTGTGTGCATGTGTGCATATGTGTGTGTACACATACATATATATACATATATGTGTATATGTATATATTTGTGTATATATATGTGTGTGTGTATATACATATATGTGTACGTGTGTGTGTGTATACACATATATATGTATATAACATTTTCTTCATCTAGTCTGCCATTGATGGGTACTTAGGTTGATTCCATGTCTTTGTTATGGTTACTTGTGCTGTGCTGAACATGTATATGCATGGGTCTTTATGATGGAATGATTTGTATTCCTTTGGGTATATACCCAATTATGGGATTTCTAGGTCAGAAGGTAATTCTGTTTTATTTGAGAAATCACCAAACTGGTTTCCACAATGACTAACCTAATTTACTTTCCCATGATCATTGCATAAATGTTCCCTGTTGTCCCCAAACATACAAGCATCTGTTACTTTTTGACTTTTAATAATAGCCATTCTGACTGGTGGGAGATGGTATCTCATTGTGGGTTTAATTTGCATTTTTCTTTCTTTTTTTTTTTTTTTTTTTTTTGCCTATTAAACCAGTTTATTTGTTTCTAAAGAGTTTAATGATACGGGTTTGCTATTTCCATTAGAGCATCCTTTTTCTGGCCATTCGGACAAAATAAAGTTAGCAAAGCCCTCACAGCACCCTATGAAAAATCTTTGCTCTTATACAGGATTAGATGCAGACCTCATCTTGACCTAACATCTGTAACCAGGTAAGTGTATGAGTAGGAACACAGACAGCAGTACTGTATCAGCAAAATCTATCATATTATTTGAAATCACTGGATATAATATTAATTATAAAGTGTATGGTTCTCTCCAGTTGTTCACATACCAAATCCCAATCAGTTCTCAGATTCAGATAGATGTATCTGCAATTTCTCCAAGCAGCTAAGAAAACCTTCAATAGTCAGTTCTGCTTGGTCATGGTATGACTTTTTTTTTTTTTTTTTAGATGGAGTCTTGCTCTGTCTCCCAGGCTGGAGTGCAGTGGGGCAATCTCAGCTCACTGCAACCTCTGCCTCCCGGGTTCAAGCAATTCTCCTGCCTCAGCCTCCCGAGTAGCTGGGATTACAGGCACGTGCCACTGCGCCCGGCTGATGTATGACTCTTTTATCCAGTAATCAAAACACATACGTACATACACACACATACCAGCCCAAAAGAGGTGTTAAAACATACATATTACACGTACTTTTTGGAGGGGTGAGGTGGGGTGGGGTGGCTTGACAAGGCACCAAGAGGTAATTTTGAGATAGATAATTTGCATTTTTCTAATGATTGATGATGTTGAGCATTTTTTCCTATGCTTTTTGGCTGCATTTATGTCTTCTTTTGAAAAGTGTTTGTTCATGTTCTTTGCCCAGTTTTTCATGGGATTGTTTGTTTGTTTGCTTTTTGTAAAGTTGTTTAAGTTCCTTACAGATGCTGAATATTAGACCTTTGTCAGATGCTTACTTTGCAAATATTTTCTCCCATTCTGTAGATTATCTGTTTACTCTATTGATAGTTTCTTTTGCTGTGCAAAAGATCTTTTGTTTAATTAGGTCCTTTTTGTCATTTCTTTTGTTCTTATTTTAACTGATTTTTGGTATCTTCATCATGAAATCTTTGCTACCTTCTATGTCCAAAATGGTATTTCCCAGGTTATCTTCCAGAGTTTTCATAGCAAAGTTTTAATTCCTCTTGAGTTAATTTTTGTATATGATGAAAATAAGGAATCCAGTTTAAATCTTCTGCATATGGCTAGCCAGTTATTCCAGCACCATTTAATAAATAAATAATCCTTTCCCCATTGCTTCTTTTTGTTAATTTTGTTGAAGATCAGATGGTTGTAGGTAAGAGGCTTTGTTTCTGAGCTCTCTATTCTGTTTCATTGGTCTATATGTCTGTGTCTGGTTTTATACCATTACAATGATTGTTTTGGTTACTATAGCCTTGTAGTATAGAAGTATAGATTGAACCCAGTTAATATAATGCCTCCAGTTTTGTGATGTGTGTGTGTGTGTGTGTGTGTGTATGTGTGTGTGTGTGTGTATAGGGTTGCCTTGGCTACTTGGGCTTTTTTTGCTTCCATATGAATTTTCAAATAATATTTTTCTAATTGTGTGAAAAATGTCATTGGTAATTTGATAATGATAGCATTGAATCTGCAAATTGTTTTGGATAGTATGGCCATTTTAATAATATTGATTGTTCCTATTCACAAACACAACATGTTTTTCCATTTGTTTGTGTCATCTCTGATTTCTGTAAGCAACATTTTGTAATTCTCATTGTAGATGTCTTTCACCTTCTTGGTTAGCTCTATTCCTAGGTATTTTATTCTTTTTATTGCTATTGTGGGTGGGATTGCATTCTTGACATGGCTCTCAGGTTGAACAATGCTGGTGCACATCAATGCTACTGATTATTGTACATTCATTTTGTATCCTAAAAGTGTGCTGAAGTTGTTTATAAGCAGCTTTGGGGCAGAGACTGTGTGGTTTTCTAGGTAAAGAATCACATCATCTGCAAACAGGAACAGTTTGATTTTCACTGTTCCTATTTGGATGGCTTTATTTCTTTCTCTTTCTTGATTGCTCTGGTTAAGACTTCCAGTATTATTTTGAATAATAGTGGTGAGAGAGGGCATCCTTGTCGTTTTCTGGTTTTCAAGAGGAATGCATTTAACTTTTGCCCATTCAGTATCGTATTGGCTGTGGGGCTGTCATAGATGGCTCTCGTAATTTTGAAGTATGTTCCTTCAATGTTTCGTTTATTGAAGGTTTTTAATATGAAGTGATGTTGAATTTTATCAAAAGCCTTTTCTGTATCCACTGAAATAATCATGTGGTTTTTGTGTTTAATTCCATTTATGTGGTGAATCACATTTATTGATTTGTATATGTTGAACCAATCTTGCATCCCAGGGATAAAGCCTACTTGATAGTGGTGAATTCCTTTTTGTTTTGTTTGTTTCTATGTGCTGCTAGATTTGGTCTGCTAGTATTTTGTTGAGTATTTTTGCATCTATGTTCATCAAAGTTATTGGACTGAAGTCTTCTTTTACGTTGTGTCTTTGCCAGGTTTCGGTATCAGGATGCTGCTGGCCTCATAGAATGTGATAGAGGGGAGTCCTACCTTCTCAGTTTTTTGAAACACTTTCAGTAAGAATGGTACCAGTTCTTCTTTATGCATCTGGTAGAATTTGGCTATGAATTCTTCTGGTCCTGGGCTTTTTCTGGTTAGCAAGCTTCTCATTACTCATTCAAATTTGGAACTCATTATTGGTCTATTTAGGGATCCAATTTCTTCCTGATTTAATCTATGGAGGTTGTATGTCTCCAGGAATTTATCCACTTCTTCTAAGTTTTCTATCATGTGTGCATAGAGGTGTACATAATAGTCTCTGAGGGTTTTTCTATTTCTCTGGGGTCAGTGGTAACATCCCTTTTATAGTTTCTGATAGTGTTTGTTTGGATCTCATCTCTTTTTTTTCTTTATTAGTCTAGCTAGTGGTCTATCTATTTTACTAATTCTTAAAAGAACTAGCTCCTGTATTCATTGTTATTTTGAATGTTTTTTGCATCTGAATTTCCTTCAGTTTAGCTCTGATTTTGGTTATTTCTTGCCTTCTCCTTGCGTTGAGGTTGGTTTGCCCTTGTTTCTATAGTTCCTCTAGTTGTGATGTTAGCTTGTTAATTTGAGATCTTTCTAACTTTTTTGGGTGGGTGTTTAGTGCTGTGAACTTCTCTCCTAACACAACAAACATTTATTTCCCATAGATCTGCAGGCTATGAAATTCAAGAGAAAGGTACTGGCAGACCCAGTGTCTGGATATTTCCCACCTCTTGGCTTATAGACACATTCTTTCTTGATGTTTCATCACATGGCTGAGAGACAAATACAGAGAGAGAAAGAGAGAGGTTGTAGGGAGACAGATAGAGAGAGAAAGAGAGAGGGAGAGAGATTGTATATTTGTCTCTTCTTAAAAGGGCACTAATTCAATTCACGAGGCTTCCATCATCATGACCAAATCAGCTCCCACAGCACCTCCAAATATCATACCACTGGGAATCAGGCTTCAACATATGAATTTGGAGTGTACACATCCAGCCCATAACAACCTCCAGATATAATATTTAAAAGTATTTGCTTTCTATATGTATTAAAATGATCATGTTTATTCTTTATTCCCCCAAAATATAAATTGCACTTATTTTTGAAAGCTAAGACAAATTTATATTTTGGCTTATTAAGTGTTTTTTGTTTGTTTGTTAACTTTAAATAGAAACTGTCCTCTAATTTTTATTTATTCTACTGCTCTTATGAGGTTTTGTTTTTGAAGATGTAAGTTAGAAAGGGTTTTGTTGCCCACTATCTAAAGAAGATATACAGTTCATGTTACTTCTTTCTTAAATATTTGAAGAAATTTACCAAGAATGCCTTCTCATCGTGGAGTGCTTTGTTTCACTTTGTTTTGTTTACCCTGATAAAACTTTTGATTATAGATTAAATATATTTATTTGAAATAAGAATATTAATATTTTCTATTTGTTCTGTGTCACTCTTCATAAGTGGCATTTTAAGGAATTTGCGCATTTTATCCAAATATTTAAATCTTTTTGTAACAAAGATGTTTATAATATCCTCCTATCCTCCTGTCCATAGGATCTATAATGGTCTCCCATTTTTCATTTCTCTAATGTAATGAGCAATTTGGGTATATTCACCTTCTCCCTCTCTATATTTTTTTCATCTTTCACATTAGTGGTTAATAAATTTGATTAATCTTTATAAACATCCAATTTTTGCATTTGTCAATTTTATTTATTTTACATTTCTTCATTGATTCTTCAGAATTGTTTTAATTATTCCATCTTTTACCATTTAACTTGTCATTTTTATTTTCTGTTACTGTAGATTTAGTGACATATTTCCTTGACATATTACTGTGTAATTTACTAATTTTATCACTTTGCAGGTAAATACATTACAATATTGAATACCATTTATGCACTGTAAATCTTTTATGTTATTGTTATGAAGTATTTTAATTCTCCATATATTTTAAGCCCAACAGCACAGTAATATTATTATTATTACTGCTTTCTAGAGTAAATATTTATTTAAGTTAACCAGATATTTACCCTTTGATTATTCTATGTATCTTTATAAATCCCCATGCTTCTATGTGAGATCATATTTTTTTACCTGAATAAATCATTTTTAACATTTTCTTTTAGTGAGAGTCTACCTGTGAGAAATGCTCTTGTGTTTATTTGTCAAAAATATATTTATTGTACCTTCATTTTGATAATTTTTTGTGCATAGAACTCTAAATTAGGCAGCTATTTTTTCCTGAATTTTAATATGTCATTTTATTGTTTTCTGCTCATTCTTGTTGAAAAATTAGTTGCCAGTATTATGTTACTTATTAGATAGTAGCATGTCTTATACATTCCCTTTTGTTGCTTTAAGATTTTTTCATATCTTTGGTTTTTATCAGTAAGGTACTTAGATTTGGCTTAATTTATATTTATTCTCTTGGTGTTCAGGAGCTTCTCAAATCTATGGATTGATATTTTACTGAGTTCAAAAACATCTTAACAATAATTTCTTCAAATGTTGCTTCCAAATCATTCTTCCTCTATTCTTCTGGGACTATAATTATATGTATTTTTGACTTTTTTTTTTAACTTTCTGTGATATTTGCTATTTGCCTATGTTATCTTACACTAATGTTGTCTTTCATTGTTTCTAATACTATTTCACTCATCTACAGAAAACATGATTTCAGTGACTTAATTGTACAGCTCTAAAATTTCAATGGTGCTTATTTTTACACATCTCATTTTTCTCATGAAATTGTCTACATTGTATATTTAAAATATTTATATTTATTGTAAAGTCTATAACTGATCATTTCAGTATTTGGATTATCAATGTGTTTCTTAATCTATTTTTTCCTTTTGGATATTGTTTATTTCTTCCAGATTTTTAGTATGATATTTGGTAAATATTTATTGACCATAATGCATGCAAATATTTGAAGACTCCAGATAATTTTATTTTATTCCAGAGAGGATTTATATCCATTCTGACTAACATTAAGAATATTTCATATCCCTTTGATCTAGCAAAAATTGAAAAAATTTAAGGTGAAATTCTCATCCAATAAGAGCTTTCTGGACATTATTATATCCTTCAGGATACTCAGTGGAGGCTTGGTTTAGAGTCCCTCCTCCTAGGAAGATTTTGAACACTGAAATACGTCTGTTCCGTTTCATAAAACTGCTCGAACTCTATGCTGTGACTATGTACTTTTCCCCTTAGCCCTTGTTTTTGTACATCTTATGAGTTAACAAATGCTCTGATTGTAAACGTTGTGGATAAATTTGGCTCACCACAAATCTTGGCTTAGTTGCTCTCCAATGTCTTCAAACACTTGTTTTAGTATTGTTTCCCTTTTTTTGCTTGTTCTCAGCAGATGTATTGCTCAGAATGAAGCTACATCGTAATAGCTGCAAGGAGAAGTCCGTCTTTACAAAATTACATATTATATAATAACTACGATAATATACTATATATTGTCTTCTTGACATCAAGAATGAAATAATGATCCTTAATAAACTAAAACATTGAGTTTACCTGCATTTACTTTCTATTTTTATGCCTCCCATTTCCTTGCAATTTAGGGCTTATATACTTTTTACTTTTTAATTTTTTGGTACAAGTTAAGTATACATATATATATATATATATATATATATATATATATATAGTGTACATGAAATATTTTAATACAGTCACACAATGCATAACAATATCAAGGTAAGTGGGGTATTTATTGCCTCAAACACTTATCATTTCTGTGTGTTACAAACATCCCAATTGTACTATTTTATTTATTTTAATAAGTATTATTTATTATTGTTAACTATAGTCACCCTATTGTGCTGTAAAAAACTAGATCTTATTCATTCTAACATTATTTTTGTAACCATTAACCATACCAAACTGCCCCCGTCCCTCACCCACTACACTTAGCAGACTCTGGAAACAATTCTACTTTCAGTCACCATGAGTTCAATTGTTTTAATTTAAGGCTTCCAAAAATAAGTAAGAACCTGTGAAGTTAGTCTTACTGTGCCTGGCATATTTCACTTACCATAATGTCCTCCAGTTCCTTCTATGTTGCTGAAAATGATGGAATCTTATTTTTTATGGCTGAATAGTGCTCCATTGTATATATGTACCATGTTTTCTTTATCCATTCATTCATGCATGAACACTTAGATTGCTTCCAATTCTTGCCTATTTTGAATAGTGCTGCAATAAACATGGAAGTGAAGATACAGCATTGATATATTGATTTCCTTTTTTGGGTTGATGTGGGCAGTATATACCTAACAGTTAAATTGCTGAATCACATGATCATTCTATTTTTATTTTTTTGAGGAACCTCCATACTGTTCTTCACAGCAGCTGTAGTAACTTACATACCCTTCAACAGTGTGCTAGACATCCTTTTTCTCCAGATCCCTGTCAACATTTATTATTGCCTGCTTTCAGATAAAAGCTGTTTTAACTGGGGTGTGATTATATCTTCTTGTAGTTGTGATTTGCATTTCTCTGATGATCAGTTATGTTGTGCACCTTTTCATATACCTGTTTTCCATTTGCATGTCTTCTGTTGATAAATGTCTATTGAAATCATTTGCCAATTTTAAAATCAGATTATTATATTTTTTCCTAGAGTTTTTCAAGCTCCTTATATATTCTGGTTATTAGTTCTTTGCCAGATAGATGGTTTGCAAATATTTTCTCCCATTCTGTGGACTTTCTCTTCACTGGGCTGATTGTATCCTTTGCTGTACAGAAGCTTTTAAACATGATGTGATCTCATTTGTCCAGGTTTGCTTTGGTTGCCTGTGTTTGTGGGGGTATTGATTAAGAAATATTTGCTCAGACCAATGTTCTGAAGATTTTCCACAATGTCTTCTTTTAGTCATTTCATAGTTTGAGGTCTTCATTTAAGTGTTTAATCCATTTTGGGTTGATTTTTGTATATAGTGATAGATAGGGGTCTAGTTTCATTCTTCTGCGTATGGATAGCCAGTTTTCCCAGAAGCCTTTATTGAAGAGATGGTCCATTCCCCAATGTATATTCTTGACACTTCTGTTGAAACTCATTAGGTTGGTGCAAAAGCATCAGGAGCATATTGTTTAACTTCTATGTGTTTGTACAGTTTCCAAAGATTTTCTTGTTATTAATTTCTAGTTTTATTGCATTGTGGTGAGAGAAGATACTTGGTATAATTTCAATTGTTTCGATTTTTTAAACTCTTGTCTAGTGGCCTAGTATATGGACCATTCTTGAGAATAATCAGTGTGCTGGGGAGAAATATGTGTATTCCGCAGCCATTGGATGAAACGTTCTGTAAATATATATTAGGTCCATTTGGCCTAAAGTGCAGATTAAATCTGATGATTTTCTTTCCGTCTGAATGATCTGTACAATGCTGAAGGTGGGGTGCTGATGTCTACAACTTTTATTTTATTGGGGTCTATCTCTCTTTTATTTCTGATATTATTTGCTTTGTATATCTGGATATCCCATATTGGGTGAGTATGTATTTACGATTATTATATCCTTTTGCTGAATTGACCTCTTTATCACTTTATAATGACATTCTTTTTACTTTTTATGGTTTTTGTCTCAAAAATTATTTTATTTGATATAAATATAGCTTCTCCTGATCTTTTTTACATTTCCATTTGCATAAAGTATTTATTCCATTCCTTTGTTTTCAGTCTATGTGTGTCTTTATAGGTGCAGTTGGATTGTTGTAAACAACAGATTGTTGGGTCTTGTTTTTTTAACTGATTCAGCCTTTCTATGTCTTTTGATTGGAGAGTTTAGTCCATTTACATTTAGTGTTATTATTGATAAGTTAGGACTTAAGATGAGCCTTCCAAATAACACCTTATAACCAATTATTTTTAATGAATGATAACACTAACTGCAAAGGCAAACAAATAATCTAACAAACAAGCAAAGAGAAAACTAATGAAAAATCTACACTTCAACTTCATCCACTCTGCTTTTAATAGTTTTGATACTTCAAATTTTTTCTTATTATGATATGTCTTTATAACTTGTTATAGTTATTATTTTGATCAGTTCATATTTTAGCCTTTCAGGTTAAAATATGAGTGGTTTACACACAACAAATATTGTTATAATAGTTTGTGTTTTTCTGTGTACTTACTATTACCAGTGAGTTTTGTATCTTCAGATAACTTTTTATTGCTCGTTAATATTCTTTTCTTTGAGACTGTAGAACTCCCTTTAGCATTTCTTATAAAACAGATCTGGTGTTGATGAAATCACTCAGCATTGTTTGTTTGGAAAAGTGTTTATTTCTCCTTCATGTCTGAAGGATATTTTCACTAGATATCTTATTCTAGGGTAAAAGTTGTGTGTGTGTGTGTGTGTGTGTGTGTGTGTGTGTTTCCCTCTTCTTCAGTGCTTTAAATATGTCATACCATTTCCCACTGGCCTGCAAGAATTCCACTGAGAAGTCTGCTTCCAGACATGTTTAAGCTCCATTCTATTTTTGTTTCTTTTATCTTGTTGCTTATGGAATACTTTCTTTATCTTTTTCCTTTGGTATTTTGATTATCAAACGCCTTGTGGTAGTCTTATTTGGTTAAATCTGTTTGATGTTCTATAACCTTCTTGTACTTGAATATTGACATGTTTCTCTAAGTTTGGGATATTCTCTGTTATTATCACTTTGAATAAACTTTATTCCTCAATCTCTGTCTCTACCTCCTCTTTAAGACCAATAACTCTTAGATTTGTTCTTTTGATGTTATTTTTTAAAGATATTTTCAATATGCTTTATTCTTTTTTATTTTTTCTCTTCTGACTTTGTGTTTTCAAATTGCCATTCTTTAAGGTCACTAATTCTTTCTTCTGCTTGATCAATTCTACTATTGAGAGACTCTGATGCATTCTTCAGTATGTCAATTAAATGTTTCAGCTTCAAATATTCAGCTTCATTTTTAAAAACTATTTTATTCTATTAGTTAAATTTATCTAACAAGATTCTTAATTCCTTCTCAGTGATCTTTTGAATTTTGTTGAGTTTCCTCAAAAAAGCTACTTTAAATTTTGTGTCTGTAAGTTCACCCATCTCTCTCTCTGTCTGGGTTTGGTCACTGGTGACTTCTTTAGTTTATTTGGTGAGGTCATACTTTCTTGGATGATCTTGAAGCTAAGGAATGTTCATCCATGTCCAGGCATTAAAGAGTTTGGGATTTACTCTACTCTTCACTATCTGGGTTTGTACCAGTCCCCTTTGGAAGGATTTTCCAGTATTCAAAGAGAATTGAGTGTTGTGATTTAAGTCTCTGGTCACTGCAACTGAATCTGCATTAGAGGGCACTGTAAGTCCAATAATGTTGTGACTCTTGCAGATTTTTAGAGATACCTCCTCGGTAGTCTTTATTAAGATCTGAGAAAATTTTTGGATTACCCAACAGAGACTCTTGTTCTATTTCCTTACTTTCCCACAAACAAACAGAGTCTGTCTGTGCTGAGTTGCCTGGAGCTAGTGGATGAGTGACACAGGCACCCCATGGCTACCACACTGGAACTTTGCTGCGTAAGACCTGAGGGAATACAGCACAGGGTATTGTTAATACACATCGTGACCACTGCCTGGCTACTATCAACACAAATTCAAGGCCCAAGCCCTCTTCATTCAGCACATGGCAAGTCTTGTTAGGCTTTTGTCCTTTCTTTCAGGGCATCGAGTTTCTTTCCAGCCCACGGCAGGTCCAGATATGCCATCCAGGAGCCAGAGCCTGGAGCCAGGAACCTCAAGAATCTACTTCTCCTCTAATCTACTGTGGCTAGGCTGGCACTCAAGAAACAAGATAAATTTGTTCTGATGCATTCATCTCCTTTTATCAAGCGGAAAGGGTCCCTCTCCATGGCCATCACTGCCCCATGGTCATAGCACGTTTTGCCTGGCTACTGCCGCTGTTCACTCAATGCTCACAGGCTCTTTAGTCAGCTTGTGGTGAATGCTGCCAGGCCTGGGTATCTCCCTTCAGGGCAGCAGGCTCCCCTCTGATCACAGGCTGGTCCAGAAATGCCATCCAGGGGCCAAGGCCTGGAATAGGGAACCCCAAGAGCCTGCTTGGTGCTCTACCCCACTGTGGTCAAGCTGGTTCCCAAGCTGCAAGACTAAATCCCCTTTATATTTCTCTCCTTTTCTTAAACAGAATGCATCTCTACCTGTGGCCTCCATAGCTAGGAATGCACTGGGTCACACCTGAAGCTTGCATATTCCTGGGTCTTATGCAAGGCTCATGGTAAGTACTACCTTGGCTACCACTGATGTTCATTCTTGGCCCAAGTGCTGTTTAGTCAGCAGGTGATAAATCATGCCAGTACTAGGTCCTTCACTTCAAAGCAGATGGTTTCTTTCTGGACCAATATGTGTCTAGAAATGTCATCTAGGAGCTAGGGCCTGGAATGGGAACCTCCAGATTCTGCCTGGTTTCTTATTCTACTTTGGCTGAGTTTGTATCCAAGTTGCAAAACAAAGTCCTATTTATTCCCTCATCTCCATTCCTTTTTTCTCTACACTGACTGTCTGGAAAATTCCTGTAGGTGACTATAATGTTTCTGCCATTGATTTTTGCCCATCACACACTAAAATTGTCATTCTCTTTCCATGGATTAAGTACTCTGTATATGGTCATACCTACAAGCTTAGGGAAGGATATTAATACAACTTCGGTGGGTGATGTGGGAATCTGGGCTACTTGCTCATGCATCTTATTTATGCTGATTTTTTTTTTTTTTTTTTTGCTTGATTCTGGATATGCCTTCTCCATCTTAACATGACTTCTCCTGAGCTCATCTCCCTTTATGTCTTGGTATGTTCAACACAACCCAACTCATAATGAAAAACTATAAAAGTATGGACACTTGGTGCTCCATGCTTAAAACTTCTGTCTACCAGGGCCAAGTACCATGTCAAGTGCTATCTTTCAAATGACATGTAAGTATCTGCTGTGGTTGAAATAGCCTGTCTCCAGAGTCCCAGGGGTCTGCTTTGTGATTCTCACTCTAGTGCTTGCCATTAACTACAGTCTATGTCATTTTTATTGGGTATAAGGCATCATATGTCTAAAGTTGCAAGGACATTTGCACCACAGCCTGGACCTGCTGTGAAGACTCTTTCTGCATTAGATGCCAGAGAAAGATGGAAGCAATTAGTGTCACCTAGTTTATGGGCTAGGTAGTATTTCATGGAATAGCAAGTGTAGACTGGAGAACAGGGACCTACTGGATTTTGTGCTTTCTTCTTTTTTTGCAGGAGCTATAAGGTGCAGGTATTTGTACTTTACTATTTTGGGGGTTGGATATCCACACATGCCCCTGATAATTTGTTTTCTAAAAGCTTCAATTAAATGACAGGTTCTAGCATTTTTATAGAATTTATTTCTCATCTCCTGAAGAACATGTTGCTTACCAATGCCTTTAGTGGATTAACCACCTCTTGCTCATCCTGCCCAATTATATGTCATTATAATGTGGCAATATAATTTGTGGGATATCTGAGTGGCTCTGATCTTTGTGAATATATTATGACAGAGGAAGGAAAACATAGCAAAACTGTAAATAATACTGTTGTCCATCTATATGAATACAAACTGCTTTTGATCATCTTTGCTGACTGGGATTAAAAATAATGTAGTTGCCATATCAGTGGCAGCGTACCATGTACCCTAATACTTATTAATATCCTGTAGCAATGATAACATAATCACCCAAGCAGCTGTAATTGGGGATATTCATTCATTAAATTTATAAAAATCTTCAGTCATTTTCCTGGATCCACCTATTTATTCAGAGGCCCAAACAGCAAATTAAATGGATATATAATAGGGATCAATATCACTACTTTTTTTTATGTAGGGGGCTTAAAGATGGCAGTAATCTTTGCCATTTTCTTAGGAGGCAGTTGTCTTTTCTATTTACTAACTTTGACTGTGTGGAGGTGGGCAGATTCAGTGGTTTCCATTTAGCTATCCCTCCTATGATAGTTCTTACACCATAGGCCAAGGACTCGGTGTGGGTGTTATCCCAACTACAAGTATACATATTCCAAATATACACTCAAAGACTGCAAAAATGACTACTAGCATTTCCTGTAGAACCAGTGAGCCCATTATAAGACAGGCTTTAGTCAGGACCCTATTTATTACTTCTTTAGTCAATGGATTATGGATCTGAAAGTTGGCTTAGGTCCCAAAACTGAACAAGAACTTATACACTTTTATTGGATCTTCCTTAGTCTCTTGCTCCACCATTGTACCAGTTCTTTGTTGTTGATGCTATTGGGCAACACAATTGTTTGCTTTATTTTGCCCTTAGAGATGCCTTACATTGGTGCACATCTTTAAAAGTTACTACTGAACATGTCCCTTTCACTATTTCATCAATATTTTGGTCATTAAAGTAATTGTTTTCTTGGTTTCCAGCAGTTAATTTATCTAGTAACTATGTTAGTATCCAGTCATTCTAATAGATATCAATAAGCTTAGTTCTGTTCTCCTGTTGGTAGTCCTATACTGAAAACTTCTTAGTGATGCTGATGTCACTCTCACTAGCACATTGCTTATAGCTTTGGTGAATGTTGTACCTTCTGTACCGTTCTATGAAAGATAACCCTGTTGTGAGTCTTCCAACCCAGCAAAATATATCCATTCCAATAAGTCTACTTCCATAAACACCATTATTCCTTCCTTTATTGTTTGCTAGGGCAGCTCAGGCATTTCTACTTTACCTAATTTTGATGATGTCCATTGCTTTTTATAGGCTACTTAGAGTCATATAAGCTGAGAGTTTGCCCCATTTACTAGTGTCCTTCCCAGGAGATTAAATCATATAGTCTGAGGAGGTACCTTAAATTCAACGAATTCTTGCTTATCCAGTTTTTAACTTTAAGCACCTTTAATCAATCACCTTCAAACTTTAATCCCAGTGGTATTTCCCTTGTTCTAAGTAGTAAAATGTTAATTCTTACAGCTTCATCAGTGTACAATCTTTTTTCCTTCATTATCTAGACCAGTGTTTTTCAACTAGGTTCATTTTTGAATTTAATTATAATTATCAGCCTAGCAGCCAGGAGAGGAGGTGGGGCTGATTTATGAAGATGTGTACATCTTACCTTGCAAGATTTCAACATCTGTAGAGTCTTCCAGCCTGTGGAAAGTATAAGCTTGCTTCTATGGAATACTATTTTACCTCTGCAGACTCTTGTTTCAGGGGATTCTGCCATGGTCCCATCTGGTGTTCCCATCCTGTTTCAAGGTCCCAAATTTTTTTAAAAACAGAGCATACGCTAGCATCAAGACTTTATTTGGATAAGGTTTATGTGATTCTGGAGCTCTACAACTCTATCAAATCTTCAGGTTGTTGCTTGATTGTATCTACCCTTTCACTGCCAAAGATAAGGACTTCCTTGTCAACTACCAAAGAACCCCTGGGGCTCTCTCACACTTAGTTTTTGTTTTCAATGTTATTTTTATTGACTTTACTTTGTGTTAAGAGCTGTCAGCTTTTTATTAGTCCTCTGAAGACCATAAATACAGTTTAACAGCAGTCAATAAATCTCTCTTTCTTTGTATACATTATTTCATCCATATTTTTAAAACGTAATACTCTTTATATGTGCGATCACTGTCCTTTACCAGTAGGTTTTCCAGGACACCTTCAATTAGTGATTATAACACCACCATAGTGATAGGCCGCCTCTAAGATGGCCTCTCAATGATCTCCTCTTCCTGTTATTTATGACCTTGTGTAATCCACTTTCCTTGAATAACTTGTTTCTAAACAATAAAATACACAAAGTATTGCAACTTTTCTGGTGCTGTCGCTGAGTCTTAAAAAGATCATTCTTTCACTCCATAAATCCAGATACTTGAGTATAAAAAGGAATATGTAAGGTCAGTGAATTTCATGAGCATGGGTCCATTGCTTCACTTCATTTGTGGTCACGTGAGTTCATTGATCAGAAGCAATGTTGTGTGGAATATCATGATGGTGAATAAAGTATTCGATAAGCTCATGGATGGTAGGTTTGGGAAAAGAATTGTGTGCAGGGAAGGGAATTCTGTATTCCGACTCTCTACTCCAGTAAGAACAAAATATTTCATCTTCCATGGTGAGAGCAGCCCAAAGTAATCAACCTGCCACCTGGTAGTTTGCTGATTACTCTGATGCATGGTGCCATATAAGGCACACAAAGTTGATCTCTTCTGCTGACATATGGACACTCAGTAGTGACTGTAATCAGGTTATCTTTGGTGAGTGGAAGTCTGTTGCTGAGCCCATGCATAGCCTCCAATTTTTTCACCATGGTCAGTTTAGTTATAAGCCCACTGGCAATGGCAGAAATAGTTGTGGTAGGAGGCTGACAGTTATTTGAATAATGAGTCATCATATTCACTTGATTATTGAAATTCTCGTAAATGTCACTGTTTGGTAAGCATTCACGTGACATACAAATATCTTCACATTTTTCCCCCATTCAGAGAGGTTCATCCACATACATTGTCCCAGGGATTCCTTGTAAACAACTTTCTAGTCATGTTCCTCCTAAAACCTGGACAATCCTGACAAACCACTTACCAAATTCCGTGAATCAATATATAATCACACATCTGGCCATTTCTCCTACTAACCAAAGTAAACAACCAACTATGTAGGTGCACTGTATGGAGTTATGCCTTCTGCAAAGATTTTCATTCATGACAGTACTTCAGAGATGTTCTAGGAAAAGGCTATAATGCTGCAATTGTCTACCTTTTGGTAGTACCCACAAGTCATAGAGAACTATTTGTAAACCAGGCCCAAGTTTTCTCTTCCTTGGTAAACTTCTTGTAGGGAACTTCCTAAGAGGCCATAGAATTGGGCTGGGAAGAAAATGATAGTATATTAATAGTAGGGAGCATGAATATTTGGACCTTTACCTTGTGTTACTTGCTTGTGCCCTTAGGGCCTGCTCAAGCCCGATCTCATAAATATTACTTCCATTTGATAATGCAGGGCTGTTGTTCATGTGCACGTATATTAGTCAGTTCTTGCATTGCTATAAAGAAATACCTGAGACTCAGTAATTTATAAAGAAAAGAGGTTTAACTGGCTCACAGTTGTATAGGAAGTACAGGGAACATAGTGGCTTCTGCTTTTGGAGAGGCCTCAGGAAGCTTCCCATCATGGCAGATGGCAAAAGGGGAATGAGACATGTCACATGGTGGAAGCAGGAGCAGGAGATGGTGGGGGTGGGGGGGGCAGAGGTGTTACACACTTTTAAACCAGATCTTGCAAGAACTCACTATCATGAGAATAGTGTCAAGGAATGCTAAACCATTCCTGAGAAATCACCCCCATGATACAATCACTTCCCACCAGGCCCTACCTCCAACATTAGGGATTACTATTTGTGTGGGGACACATAACCAAACCATATCATTCCTCTCCTTGCCTCTCCCAAATCTCATGTCTTTCTCATATTGCAAAATATAATCATGTGGACACAGGAAGGGGAATATCACACTCTGGGGACTGTTGTGGGGTGGAGGGATGGGGGAGGGATAGCATCGGGAGATATACCTAATGCTAGATGACGAGTTAGTGGGTTCAGCGCACCAGCATGGCACATGTATACATATGTAACTAACCTGCACAATGTGCACATGTACCCTAAAACTTAAAGTATAATAAAAAAAAGAAAAAAAATATATATATAATCATGCCTTCCCAATAATCCCCAAAGTCTGAAATAATTCCAGCATTAACTCAAAATTCCAAAGTCTTATCTGAGGCAAGGATAGTCTCTTCCACCTATAAGCCTGCAAAATAAAAAACAAGTCAGTTATACCCAAGACACAGTGTGAACACAGGCATTTGGTAAACATTTCTGTTCTGAAAGGGAGAAATCAGCCAAATGAAAGGAGCTGTAGGCCCATGCAAGTTTGAAACCAAGCAGGACAGTCATTAAATCTTAAAGCTCCAAAATAATATTTTTTGACACCATGTCCCAAATCCACGGAAAACTGGTAGAAGTAGTGGGCTCCCAAAACCTTGAGCAGCTCTGTCCCTGTGGCTTTGCAGAGCTCAGCCCATATGGCTGCTCTCACAGGTTGTTGTTGAGTACTTGCAACATTTGCAGAGCTCAGCCCATATGGCTGCTCTCACAGGTTGTTGTTGAGTACTTGCAACATTTACAGGCACAGAGGGAAAGCTGTCAGTGGATATACCATTTTGGGATCTGGAAGACAGTGGCCCTCTTCTCACAGCTCCACTAGGCAGTGCCCCAGTGGGGTCTCTGTGTGGGGGCTCCAACCCCAAATTTTGCCTCCACACTGCCCTAGTAGAGGTTCTCCATGACAGCTATGCCCCTTCAGCAGGCTTCTGCCTGGACACCCAGGCTTCTCAATATATTCTCTCAAATCTAGGTGGAGGCTTACAAGCCTCAATTCTTGCACTCTAGGCACCTGTAAGGTTAACACCATGTGAAAGCCACCAAGGATTATGGCTTGTACCATCTGAAGCAGTTGTCTGAGCTGTGCCTGGGCCCCTCTGAGCTGTGGCTGGAGCTGGAGCAGCTGGATGCAGGGAACATTGTCCAAAGGCTGTGCAGAGTAGCAAGACCCTGAGCCTGGCCCAGGAAACATTTCAGTCCTCCTTGGCTTCCAGGCCTGTGATGGGAGGGGCTGCCAGGATGGTCTCTGAAATGCCTTTGAGGCCTATTCCCCATTGTCTTAGCTATTAGCACTTGAATTCTTCTTACTTATGTAAATTACTGCAGCCTGCTTGAATTCCTCCCATGAAAATAGGCTTTTCTTTTCTACCACATGACTGGGCTGCAAATTTTTCAAACTTTTACACTCTGCTTCTCCTTTAAATAGAAATTCCAACTATAGGTCATTTCTTTGCTCACACATATCAGATAGTTGGTTAGAAGCAGCCAGATCATATCATGAAGAGTTTAATGCTTAGAGATTTCTTCTGCCACATACCCTAAATTATCACTCTCAATTTTAATGTTCCACAGATCCCTAGAGCAGGGGCACAATGAAACCAAGTTTTTTTCTAAGGCATAACAAAAGTGACCTCTGCTTCAATTCCCAATAAGTTCCTCATTTCCATTTAAGACCTAGTCAACCTGGACTTCACTTTCCAAGTCACTATTAGTATTTTGGTCAAAACCATTAAACCAGTCTCTAAGAAGTTCCAAACTTTCCCTCATCTTCTTGTCTTCTTCTGAGCCCTCCAAACTCTGTGCCCAATTCCAAAAGTTTCTTTCACATCTTCAGGTATCTTCACAGCAACGCCCCACTTCTCAGCACCAATTTTCTGAAGTAGTCCATTCTTTCATTGCTATAAATAAATGCCTGAGACTGGGTAATTTAGAAAGAAAAGAGGTTTAATTGGATCGTGATTCTGTAGGCTGCACAGGAAGCATAGTGGCTTCTTCTTCTGGGGAGAACTCAGGAAGCTTCCAATTATGGTGGAATGCAAAGAGAGAATGAGGCACCTTTCATGGGAGGATCAGGAGCAAGAGAGTAAGAATTGGGGATGGGGGGCACTACACACTTTTAAACAACCAGATCTCAAGAGAATTTACTATCAGGAGGACAGCATCAAGGGGATGTTGTTAAACCATCCCTGAGAAACCACCCCCATGATTCAATCACCTCCCATCAGGCCCCACTTCCAACATTGGGGATTACAACAGAACATGAGATTTGGGTGGGGACACATATCTGAACCATATCAGCATGCATACTATTCTGTCTTGAAAAATAAATTCTGTCATTTGTGACATGAGTGAAGCTGGAGGACGTTATGTTAAGTGGAATAAGCCAGGTACGGAAAGACAAATATCACATAATCTCCCTGAAGTGTGCAATCTGAAATAATTGGTCTCATAGAAATAGAGAGTAGAAGAGTGTTTACCAGGAGCTGGAGGGGATGTTGGGAAGGTGTTTGTCAAAGGATACAAAATTTCAGTTAGATAGTAGGAATAAATAAAGAGATCAATTGCACAGCATTGTGACTATTGTTAATAACAACATATTGGATTCTTAAAAATTGCTAATAAAATAGATTTTAAGTCTTTTCACCACAAAAATGATAAGTATGTGACATAATGTATATGTTAATTAGCTCAAGTTGGCATTTGACAATGCACACATGTTTCCAAACATCATGTTGTATACACATAAGTTCAATGATTAGGAAGGATATGAAGCAAGATAAGCTTTTATAAACAGCTGATATAACTATGAACTTTTTTTTTTTTTTTTTTGGCGATGGAGTCTCGCTCTGTCACCCAGGCTGGAGTGCAGTGGCAGGATCTCGGCTCACTGCAACCTCTGCCTCCCCGGTTCAAGCAATTCTCCTTTCCTTAGCCTCCAGAGTAGCTGGGATTACAGGCACCTGCCACCACACCCGGCTAATTTTTGTACTTTTAGTAGAGATAGGGTTTTGCTATGTAGGCCAGGCTGGGATTATAAACTTTTAAACTTCGGAGAGCAACTTTGCAATATCTAGTAAATTAAAATTTGCATACATCCTTTGACCTCGCAATTTATTATCTTTGTGGATTCCCTAGAAAAAGTTTCACATATTTGAACAAAGAGACACACACAAAGGTATTAATTGCAACATTCATTTGTAATAATACAATATTTTTAAAGACCCAAATGTTGATTAGCAAGAGAATGTATAAATACATTTTGGTGCAGCCATATGATTGAATATTATACAGAAAATAAAGTTAATATATAAAACCTACATATATTGACTTGGATAATTCAGAGAACAATATTGAGAAAAATGAAGCAAGTTACACAGTAATATACACACTATAATGCCATTCATACAAAACTTGTGGATATATTGATTTGCAGTAAGACTATAAAAACATTGATAGGAAGGGTATAAACAATCTCTATAACAGAGTGAAGAGAAGAAAGGGCAATGAAATTAGGGAGAAGGGAATTCAAATGCATCTAATAAAAACATATCTTTTAAAAACAAAAAGTAAAATGCTCAAAGTATGTTTCATTTATTTTCTCAATTTTTTTCCAAATAATTTGTGAAGATTTTTTTATTTTTTTTTCTCCAGGAAGTATGAATTATCATTCCACCCCTGGTATACAAAGTTTAAGAAATGTGTTCACTACCATAGAGTTAATGAGTGACAGTCATCTCACCTAGGTTTGTTTATTTTCTTCTTTACTTTTGTTCCTTCTTATTTTAAATAGGTTCTCAGCCTGTGGTTTTCAATGAGTTTCTCATTGTACTTGAGGTACTTAAAATATGTATGGTTAAATATTAATTAATTCATGTGAATTTTATTTGTGCTTTATAACTTAGTATTTAGGTACAAGTGTTACAAAAAGCTTTCAGCTAAGTAAAACCAGGGGTCACAGTTTGAATTAGAGTCATCATCAAGTTAAATTATCTTATTTTTAGGTAAGTGCAAGAGCTTGCCCTCATTCATGTATAAGAATGCATCTTTATGGAATTGAGAAATTCTACACAAAAAAATACCTGCTGATAGGTAAATAATGAATAGCACAGTAATTGTACTTGCCATTATGAATACTAAAATATTGTATTCATGTATTATCATTACTTTGCAATTATTTTTCCTTAACTTGACTAATGTTATTTTGAGTCTTCAGTTTATTTTGAGGCTTTAATTTTTTGAGTGTGTGAACAAATTTGGTTTTGTGAAAAGGTTTTATTAATAAAAAGTTTGAACATAATTAATCTAATCATCAGTTGACTTAAAGCCTGAAACTTTAATTCATAAAGGACTAGATTTCATCAAAATAATCTATACATAGATATTTATTATAATAAATATTTTACCAATAAAAATATCTAAAGTTGAGATATTATTAACTGACTTGTGTCCCCTTCCTTGAGAAAAAATTAATTAGTTGAAGACCTAAGACTTAGTGTGACTGTATTTCAAGATAGAGTTTTTAAGGGGGTAATTAAGGTTAAATGAAGTACAAAGTGTGGGGCCCTGATCCAATAGGACTCATGGTTTTATAAGAAGAGGAAAAGGCACCAGGAGTATGTGCCTAGAAAGAAGGCCATGTGAGAACACAACAAGAAAGTGGCCATCTTCAAACCAAGGAGAGAGGCCTCAAGAGAAATCAATCTATTGACACCTTAATCTTGGAATTCCTATCTCCAAACTATAAAAAAAGAAATATTTAAGCCATTTAGTCTATGTTATTTTGTCATGACAGCCCTAGCAAAGTAAAGTAGTCTAACCTTATATGTAGTTTTGCTTTCTGCAGTTTCAGTTATTTGCAGTCAATTGAAAACATTAAATGTAAAATTTCAGATATAAACAATTTATAAATATTAACTTGCATGCCATTCTGAGGTTCATGCTAAAATCTCTCACCTTCCTACTCCATCCTGCCTTGGACATCAATAAATCCTTTGTCCAGCATAGCCATGCTGTATATGCTGCTTGCTTTTTAGTCACTTAGTAACCACCTTGGTCATCAGATTTAAAAAAAAACAAAACCTTAATATATATAGTTTTCAGTACTATCCATGATTTCATACGTACACTGGGGTGCCTTGAATAAGAAAGACTACTATAATATAGATTTTGATACCAAGAACTGGGATACTACTGTAACAAATACTTAATAATATGAATGTGGCTTTGGAAATGAGTCATTAATTGAGGCTGAAAAAGTTTTGAGGTGCATGTTACAAAGGCCTCTACTACCTTAATAAGACTGTTTCTAGGAATATAAATATTAAAGGTGATTCTGGTGAGGTCTCAGAACAAAATGGAGAACATGTTATTGGAAACCAAATAAAAGACAATTATTGTTGTAAGGTGGGCAAAGAACTTGGCTGAACACTAGAACTTGTTCTAGTGTTTTGTAGAAGGTAGAAGTAGAAAGCGATGAACTTCGATATTTAGTTGAGGGGATTTTCAAGCAAAGTGTTAAAGACACAGCCTGTTTTTTCTTTATTTCTTAAAATAAAATGTGAGAAGAGAGAGATAAGTTGAAGGAATTGCTGAACAATGAGAAGTCAGGGATTAAAGATTTGAAAAATTCACAACCTATCCATATTGCAAAAATTGAGCAAATTTGTACTGAACAGAACACCAAGGACAAAGGATGTGGTTGGAAAATTATTTGCTAAAAAGACTATGTCTGTGATGCATAGATTTAATGAGCATATCAGCAGAAGCCAAGCCAGGAAGAGCAATGAGAATATACTAGCAGAGACACTGTTAGATCAGACTGTGGAAAGAAATAAGATAAAATTAAGAAAGGCTGTTGAACCTTGGGGATTATAAAAATAGGACAAATGAACTAGTTGGCTTTGAACACTTACTATCCTTCAAGGAAAAGGAAGAATGACCATGAGCTTTATTTTTGTGTCTTAAATTGTGGTAGAATTTTCCTTGCTATGTGTTGGACTTCCTTGGGACACCTTTCTTATTTCTGATTCCTCCCTTTTGTAATGTGAATATCTATCTTATGACCATTCTACTATTGTATTTTGGAAGCAGATAAGTTTTCCAGTTTTAAAAGTTCATATATAAAGAATAATCTTGACTCTGGATAAATCCTACATCTAGACTCACCCATAGCTGGTTTGGATGATATTTACATAAAGCTTTGAACTTAGAGTTGATGATACAATGAATTAACACTTTTAGGGATGTTGGGATAGAGTGAATATATTTTGCGTATGAGAGGAACATTAATTCAAGGAGAAGGATAGAATGGAGAGTTTTATGGGCTTAATTTTGTCTTGCCTCCCCAAGTTAATATGTTGAACATGTAACCCCCAATGTGACTGTGACGATAAGACCTTTAAGGAAGTAATTGAGGCTACACAAAGTTGTAAGGGCAGGGGCTCTAATCCAGTAGAACTTGTGTTCTTATAAGAAGAAGAGATACCAGGAGTGTGCATGCACAGATAGAAAACCACGTGAGGGCACAGGAAGAGAGTGGTCATCTTCAAGACCATAAAGAGGCCTCAGGAGAAACCAAACCTACCAAGACCCTGGTCTTTGACTTCCAGCCTCTAGAAATGTTAGAAAATACAATGCTATTGTTTAAGCCACCTAGTATGTGGTATTTTGTTATGGCAGCTACAGCAGACCAATACAAGAGATGAATCTGTGATACATGATGCAACTATTCCTCATTTCTACATTATCCTTTCAGGGCTTATTTCAGGGGTCATGGCTTTTACTTTTATTTCGAAATATACCATGTCTTTGCAAATAGATGTCAGCCTGAGTAATTATGCAAATAGTATAATAATATTTCTTCTGTAATTTTTACTTCTCCAAACATTGAGTTGGGCTTATGTGTCCTGGTGTGAAGGCATTGCATTTCAGATTCCAGGGAAAACGTACTAATAAGATAATTCAATTTTTACAAATAATCTTCAGGGAGTCATGGAGAATAATCCCTTTTTTTCCCAAAATATCAAGAAGGTAGAACTTGGACATGGTTCCAGAATAATCATGGGCAGTGTGGTTTAGAAGAAATTTATTGGCATGGATTATTAGAAGCCAGTGTTTATTACCTAAGAAAAAGTAAAGCTACACCGATTTAATTTACTTTTTTATGTAGCAGGATAGACAAAAAATCAAAACAAAGTCAAAATAATCATGATGTTTTTGAAAGACAGAAGAAAATAGTTGTTTAATAGTTAAGTGGTCTCCTAAATAAATTATATGCACTCTAGTGAGAACTTAAGACAATTAATTGGGGTAACAGAAGCAGTCTTTTAATTTATTTTTTAATCTTTTTTACAGTTTAAGTTTTTGTAAAATTTTATGCTACATACGTTCATTTAGTAGTATAAGTATACAATATTAAACAAAAAGGAATTGAATTTTTTGCTCAGTTTTAGTTTGCTGATAGGTAGTGCAAGCAGTTATTTCAAAGATTACTGATCTAGATAACTGCTTTTACCAGAGAAAAGCCTAAAGTATACTGATCAATGGTTTAAACATGAAAGGGGAATTTCTGGTTTTAGTCTGTAAAGTTCTGTGTTAAATTTTTTTGTGTGAAATATTATATAAATGACATTGTGAGGGATGTTTATGTAGAGAGATAATGCTTAAATGAGAGCAATAGCTAATTTGCTGAATATTTGAGTGAGGATCCGAAGTAATGTCAACATCTTGAAACAGTAGGCTTAATCTAATAAGCTAAATGTAGTTATTCATATAAAGACCTCCACATTAAAAATAATGAGATTAATGTCTGTAATCCCAACACTTTTGGAGGCCGAGGCAGGTGAATCGTTTGAGCCCAGGCATTTGAGGCCAGCCTGGGCAACATGGTGACACTCTTATCTCTGTACAAAATACAAAAACTAGCTGGGAATCATGGTGCATTCCTGTAGTCTCAGCTACTCAGGGGGCTGAGGTGGGAGGATCACTTGAGTTCAGGGATGTCAAGGATCCAGTGATCTATGATTGCACCATTGTACTCCAGCCTGGGTGGCAGAGTGAGAGCCTTAAAGAAAAAAAGAAGAAAGAAAGGCAAAGAAAGACAAAGAAAGACAGAAAGGAAGGAAGGGAGGGAGGGAGGGAGGGAGGGAGGGAGGGAGGGAGGGAAAGAAAAAGAAAGAAAGAAAAGAAAGAAAGAAAGAAAGAGGAAGAGGAAGAAAAAGAAGAAAGAAAAAAGAAAGAAAGAAGAAAAGGAAGAGGAAGAAGAAGAAAAAGAAGAAAAGAAAGAAAGAAAGAAAGGAAGAAAGAAAGAAAGAAAGAAAAAGAAAGGAGTAAAGCTAAAACTCACATATGGTAGTATATAATGTGGAATAGTATCATAGATGAAATATTATGGCTAATGGGAGCTAAATAGAAAAAGTTGTATTAATCAACTTTTGACTTCCAAAACAGCCTCTTGAGTTAATTTCAGAGGTAATAAAAATTTTAAATAAAATGTTTTTATTGGAAAAAATTAACTGGACTTTTTTGAGGGAGAAAAGTTTTGTAAAATAAGTGGCAAATTTCTGAGATAGGATACCATCAAGTTTATATATTAAAACATGTGTTGACAGGAGAATCAATGAATGCCTAAAATAGCCCTGCACTGGGAGTCAAAAGTTGTCCTGAATATGTAATAGACCCTCAATGGATCAGTGGAGAAATGAATGTTTGTGTTGAGACAGACTCTTATGATATAAATGCCTTCTGTGGCATGCAACAGAGAACTGTATGGGAGTCCAACACTTTCTTACATTTTCCATTGCTCATTATTTTTCAAGCAACTTCCACACAATGCCACGTATTATATGAAATGTCCTTCTCTATATTATATGATGAAGACATCCCATTATTCGTGCTACTTGCACATAACTTGTGGTGTAATAATATGGAAAACATGATCTTACCTCAAATTATCACTTTTCAATAGCTCAGGGCAATAATATTCACTTGTCCAAAAGACGGGAAGTTTCCAGATTCCCAGAAAACCAAATGTTGGATTATGGCAAGGAAAACTCTGGTGTTTGTGTCCGGTATTTAGTGGGACTAAACAGAAGCATTTGAAAATCAACCATTCCATTTGAACCAGAAAAGTGGAAAAACCTACCATGAGCAGTTTATTACTATCCAATATACACCTATTACACAATATATATTAACATTTGAGATTATGCCTGTAAAGGACAGAAATAGAAATATAGTAGGATATGAATCCATTACATGAAAATATGATTGAAGAGAGTAAGACTGTTAAACAGGCAAATGAAAACTATTTTCAAATATTTCACTTGCTATGTGAAAGAAGCTTTAGAATTATTCTGTGTAACTTCAGAGGGAAAAAAAGACCAAGAAAATTTTCCTCAAAACAAAAAGGAACATATGCTACTTTATCTCGATAGATAGATAGATAGATAGATAGATAGATAGATAGATAGATAGACATTCTGTGTATATTGTTTTTCCTGTCAAAGCACATTTCTAGGTGAATATTCTACATCATACTGTGTCTCTCACTATTTCAGTCATGTTATTAACAGGTTTTTCTTTTAATTTACTTTAATTCAAAATTTATATGCATTTTAAAATTTTTGTAATTGTTTTAATCTGATTTTTCTAAATTTAATTTTAAATTCCAGGATACGTGTGCAGGACCTGCAGGTTTGTTACATAGTTAAATGTGTGCCATGGTGTTTCGCTGTACCTATCAACCCATCAACTAGGTATTAAGCCCCACATGCATTAGCTATTTATCCTGATGGTCTCTCTCCCCCAACCCTCCCACAGACCCCAGTGTGTGCCATATCCCTCCAAGTGTCCCTGTGTTCTCATTGTTCAACTCCCACTTATAAGTAGGAAATGGGGTGTTTGGTTTTGTTTTCCTGCATTAGTTTGCTGAGGATAATGGCTTCAAGCTCCTTCCATGTCCCTGCAAAGGACATGATCTATGGTTACAATCACTTTAACTTTTTAACAAAGAACACTTAGAGATCTCATATTGCTAGAGCAAGGAAAGTCTGTCCTTTGTATTTTATATCTCAAAGCAGGATTATTTTTTTTCAGAACTATTTTGTTGGAATTATGAGACGAATGTCAACATAACAATGATATTTGCTAACAATTATTTTTATTCTTAGCAGGAAAAATGAAATAAAACCAGATTTTGTAGTATAGTTTGAAGTCAGTCAGCTTTGTTCTTTTTGCTTAGGATTGTCTTGGCTATACGGGCTCTTTTTTGGTTCCATATGAAATTTGACGTAGTTTTTTCTAGTTCTGTGAAGAAAGACAATGGTAGCTTGATGGGGATAGTATTGAATGTATAAATTACTTCGGGCTGTATGAGCAAGGTTACAGTAGCCAAAACAGCATGATACTGGTACCAAATCAGATATATAGACCAATGGAACAGAACAGAAGCCTCAGAAATAATGCCACACATCTACAGCCATCCAATCTTTGACAAATCTGACAAAAACAAGCAATGGGAAAAGGATTCCCTATTTAATAAATGGTGCTGGGAAAACTGGCTAGTCATATGCAGAAAACTGAAACTGGACCCCTTCCTTACACCTTATACAAAAATTAACTCAAGATGGATTAAAGACTTAAACGTAAGGCCTAAAAGCATAAAAACCCTATAAGAAAACCTAGGCAATACCATTCGGGACATAGGCATGGACAAAGACTTCATGACTAAAACACCAAAAGCAATGGCAACAAAAGCCAAAATTGACAAATGGGATCTAATTAAACTAAAGATCTTCTGCACCGCAAAAGAAACTACCACCAGAGTGAACAGGCAACCTACAGAATGCAAGAAAATTTTTGCGATCTATCTATCTGACAAAGGGCTAATATCCAGAATCTACAAGGAACTTAAACAAATTTACAAGTCAAAAAACAACCCCATCAAAAGTGGGTGAAGGATATGAACAAATACTTCTCAAAAGAAGACATTTATGCAGCCAACAAACATGAAAAAAAAGCTCATCATCACTGGTCATTAGAGAAATGCAAATCAAAACCACAGTGAGATACCATCTCAGACCAGTTAGAATGGCGATCATTAAAAAGTCAGGAAATAACAGATTCTGGAGAGGATATGGAGAAATAGGAACGCTTTTACACTGTTGGTGGGAGTGTAAATTAGTTCAACCATTGAGAAGACAGTGTGGCAATTCCTCAAGGATCTGGATCCAGAAATACCATTTGACCCAGCAATCCCATTACTGGGTATATACCCAAAGGATTATAAATCATTCTACTATAAAGACCCATGCACACATATGCTTATTGCAGCACTGTTCACAATAGCAAAGACTTGGAACCAATCCAAATGCCCATCAATGATAGACTGGATAAAGAAAATGTAGCACATATACACCATGGAATACTATGCAGCCATAAAAAAGGATGATTTCATGTCCTTTGCAGGGACATGGATGAAGCTGGAAACCATCATTCTCAGCAAACTAATGCAGGAACAGAGAACCAAACATGACATGTTCTCACTCATCAGTGGGAGCTGAACAATGAGAACACATGAACATGGGGAGAAGAATACCATACACCAGGGCCTGTTGGGGGGTGGGGTGTTAGGGGAGGGATAGCATTAGGAGAAATACCTAATGTAGATGACGTGTTTGTGGGTGCAGCAAATCACCATGGCAAGTATATACCTATGTAACAAACCTGCACGTTCTGCACATGTATCCCAGAACTTAAAGTATAATAATAATAAAAAAACAGATTTTAAACTTAGAGAAATATATCCACTCCTTGAAGAACATTGACCATTTTTATGTGTGAAGAATGCTTGCTATAAAAGTACTGCGTAGCTTTGTAAGTTTTCTGTTTTGTTTTCAGCCAGAAAAGGAAGTAGGCTCCAAAATGGGTCTGCAATTATGTTGACTATGTTCCTTTAGTAAGAAAGGTTGGAGATTACGAGCTTTTCATAGTAACACATCTTTATAGAAATTTAAGCCATAATATGTGTGTTTAAATCCGGAGTTAATTTTAATGCAGATTTGCATCAAAGCATATGACCTTTGCCTTCTTGTTAGGAGCATCCTGCATTATTTTCTTCTGTAATGTTCCGTTACTGTATTACAGATCAAATGTGCTGTAACATCTTTTATGCATTAGGCTATATATAATTTAGCATGAAACAATTTTGATAAATATAATATTTTTAAACATAGATAATGAAAGAAATTCAACTAAGTAGCTTATTTGGCAAATGAATAATTTTAATTTTAGATTGATTCTAGAATTATTTGAAACATTTGTTTTCTCAATTTCTAGGTAAAAAATATGTTTTCTAATTTTTTAATAATTTCTAGTTTTGTAGTATTAAGGTTAGATAATGTTTAATTTGTGGAATTAAATGAGGATTTTGTGTAGCCTAGTAAGTACTCATTAAACTTTAATACACATACAAATCACCTGGGGATATTGTTAAACAAATTCAGATACAGCATGCCTGGGGAAAGGTCTAAAATTCAACATTTCTGACGCAGCCCTTGGTAACACTGACACTGCTGATTCTTGTATATCAAGGACCTACTAGATGGTGATTTCCATGTATATCCCAGAGGTATATTATCAGTTGCCTTGATATAGAATACATATCCATAAAATACATATACATACATAAATTCATATCTCCTTTATTAATTATATAACTTAGATCTTCAATACACTTTTTAAATTATGTACGTTTAATTCATTATGTACTCAAAGGTTTAAATAGAAGTCTTCCATTGGATTTCATTTTATTATGTTTTATCTGCTTTAGTTTATTTTCACCGACACTTGCTACTGTAATATCTGATGTGTAAAGAGTCATTTTTATATTCCTCTTTTGAACTGTAGCCTTTAGCATTATAAAATGTTCTTTATTGTCTTCTGTAGAGATTTGTGAGCCTCTATTTCAAATTCTCTGACGGCAAGATTACATTTACTTTATTTTTTTTTTAGCATTTGCCTAGTATTGCTTTTCCAATGATTTTCTTTTAATTTTGTTTGACTCTTTGTAAATAGGTAATACATACCTATTATTCCAGAGAATCTGTATAAATATATGCACACATTATAATATTATGTATTTATTCATTTTGTTCATTTAAACAATCATTTACAATGATATATTTAGATATAATATACAATTATATGCATTATATATGTATATGCATCACACATGCATATATTCACTCTACTCTTCCTCCTATCTTCTATAGAAAACTATTTTTTAAAATTTATCTTTTATGTAGCTTTCAAATACTTCTTTAAGCAAATACAAGGGGCTGTGAAAAACCATTATAACCCCCTTTTTAATCAAAAGTTGATACTTTATATATTGTCCTATGTGTTTTTAAACCCACTTAAAATGCATGCTGAGGATTACTACCAGTAAATGGGGATGCAAATCTTAGGATCTTACTTGGCCTTCCCAGACACCACCTCAGTAGGAGTGTTGTGGCAAGTCATTACAGCCATGCAAGGGTGAAAGTCTAGTTTCCCTATTTGGCAGTTGCTGGTGTGAATGGAGTAGGGCATAGTTTTATTCTGTAGTGTTTGCATGGAGTTGTGGAATTATTATTTGAAAGTTTCCTGTCCTTCGAGGCTACATTGTTTTTTGTTTTTTTTTGACAAGATGAAACAGGTTTTCTTGGGTCTCTTTTTGTTGGCACTCATTGGTGTGTCTGTATTACTGGCTTTTCCAGCACCCATCCTGGGATATACCAGGTGAAAGGAAACTCAGCGACCTCACTACCATGTCATCCTTTGGGCCTTGAGTTCACTACCCAATTTGTTTTTTTTCTCTACTATCCAGTCATCTTCTTATATTTGTATTGCATACAATTTTAAGTGCTTTTAGTTGTATTTGATTGGAGGAATAAGAAAAAAAATATGTCTTCTCCATTTTCCTCAGAGAAGAAGGAACCAACTTTTCATTTTTTATATTGTGTATGTTTGCCTTCTCTGATTCTTCTTGATAGTTTGTCAATAATTTACATTTGCTTTTAAATACCAGCTTTTAAATTTATTATTTCTACTTTTTCTTTTTACTTCATTAATTTATTGTTAGTATTTTATGCATTACTAATATCCCATAGATTTTGCTAGCATCTCCATTATCATTTGTTAGAAAATATTTGATCTCTATTTGCATTCCTTCTTTTACCCAAGGGTTATTTAACATAGAACTTTTATGATAAGAAGTTTCCACATTGATGGGCCTTTTGGTATTCCATTTATTTAAGTAGCCTTTTTTTTAGAGTTGTATTAGTTTCGGAGCAAAACTGAGCAGAAAGTGTATTGTTCCCGTATACTGCCTGACCACCCACACATAGAGCTTCTCCCACTACCAGAATTTCACACCAGAGTGGTACATTCGTTACTACCAATGAACCTAAATCGACATATCATTATCACCCAAAGTTCAACACAGTGTACATTAAGGATCGCTCTTGATGTTGTACAATCCATGGGTTTTGACAAATATATACTTACATGTATCCACTATTATACTTTCATGCAGAATAGTTTCACTGCCCTAAAAATTATCTGTGCTCCAGCTATTCATTCCTCCCTACCCCACATCCCACGTCTACCTCTGGAGTCCAATGATGTTTTTTACTGCCTTCATAGTTTTGCCTTCTTCAGAATGTCATGTACCTGGAATAATAAACTCTGTAACCTTTACGAGTTGGTTTCTTTCACTAAGTAATATAGACTAAAGGTCTTTCCATGCCTTCTCATGGTTTAATAGCTCATTTCCTTTTAGCATTGAATAATACTTTATTTTCTGGATGTACCACAGTTTGTTTATACATTCACCAACAGAAAAACATCTTAGTTGCTTCCAAGTTTTGGAATTATGAAGAAAGCTGCTATAAATGTCTATGTGTAGAATTTTACGTGGGCCTAAGTTTTCAACTCATTTGTTATATGCCAAGGAGCACAGTTACTGGAAGTTATAGTAAGAGCATATATAATTGTGTTACGAACTGCCAAACTATCTTTCAAAGTGGTTGTGCCGTTTTTGTATTTTCACCAGTGATGAATGAGAAATGCTGTTGCTTCATACTCTCACCAGCATTTGGTGAATTTAGCATTTAGAATTTCACCATTCAAATAGACCTTTAGTGGTATCTAGTTTTTTACATTTGCAATTCGCAAATGGCATATAAGGTGGAGAACATTTTCATGTGTGTTTGCCAATGGTATGTCTTCTATGGTGAGGTTTATGTTCAGCTCTTTAGTCCATTTTTTAATTGAATTTTTATAACTTATTGTTAAGTTTTAGGAGTTCCTTATATATTTTGAATAACAGATATATGTCAGTCAACTGAGCTGACATAACAAAAATATCACAGGCTTTATGGCCAAGATACATGTGCCAGTATTGTCAGATTCTATTGAGGTCTCTCTTCTTATCTTGCAGACAGCTGCCCTCTCACTGTGTCATCACATGGCAGACATGTAAGAGAGCAAGCTGTCTACCGTCTCTTCTTATAGACTCTAATACCATCATCTGGGCCTGTTGTGCTTTCTATTGTTATGGTTTATTTCTAATTTGGTCTTGAGGTTGCTCTCTCGGGAGTGAGCAAAAGCCAAAATTGTTACTCCTAGGAAAGCCCTGACTAGACAGGGAAAGTACGATTCTGGTGTGTCCATCAGATGAGGCACAACGAATAGATGAAATTAAAATTTATAAAACAGAAGGCATTCATTACTCACAGTTCTAGAGAAGTAAGGGATGCCAGTGGGGGGACAATGGGGATTTCTGAGGTGACAGGGAGCTTAACTAACATGTGAGAAGCTAGAGAGAGTGAGAGAAAAAATATTATATATATATAGAGAGAGAGAGAGAGAGAGAGAAAGAGAGAGAGAGAAGACATGTGGGACTGTGTGTTTATTAAGGTCCATGGGCACTATTCCTTAGACTTTTTTGCAGGGGTTCTGGATTTGCTAGTTTAAATAAAACACTTGCAAAAGGGGGAGATTATTCACATGACTCTGGTGGAGACCAGTAGGTTTTATTGTGCCCAGCAGCTATGGATTGTGTTGCGTTTTGGGTCTGTGAGATAAGGAACAAGGGATTGGAATGGGGCCTCAGGGGTCTGCCCAGTACCCTATTTTACTGTGGTTGAGCTGGTATCCAAGTTGTAAGACAAAGTCCTATTTATTCTTTATTCTTCTGTCCTCAAGAAAAGGGAGTCTCTCCTGGAGATGCAAGCTGCACTGCCTGGAGTCAGATGAAAGGTAGAACAAGCACTCTTTTGGATGCCTCCACTGGTGTCCCACTGGGTCACGTGCCCCCTAATGTTTATTGGTTCCAAGCCCAGCGCAGTACCAGGACTTGCCCAAGAATTGCACCCGTTATGACCTAGACTGCCTTTCAAGTTTATTTAGAACACCCAAGCATTTTAGTTCATGGTGGCAAGGCTTGCCAGAACTCAGGTTCGACTACTGGAATGGGCACTTTCCCTCTTCTAGGGCTGGAATAAATGCTCCCTGTGAGGACGCTGGCTGAATTCAGCCCAGTATTGGTTTCTGCTGTGACAGGCAGCACTGAGTTACAATTCAAGTCTCATATTCACTGTACTCTCCCTCTCTCAACTGCACAGATTCTTTTCCTGCACCATGCAGCTATAGCCAAGAGATGGGAGAGGGGTGTTGTAAGCAATTCGAGATGTATTTTCTGCCCTCTTCAGTGCCTAAATATAAAGACAGGTACGGTGATTGCTCACGTGATTTTCAGTTCTTATAAAGGTGCTTTTTTATTCTTTCATTTCTTTTTTTAATATTTTTGGTGGTTTTTTTTTTTTTTTTTTTTTTTTTTTTGCGTGGATAGTTGTTCAATTTGTTGTTGCTGATGGTCGGGGGAACGGGGAGTGTATTACCACTGGAGGCTTCTTTTCAGCCATCTTGCTCTGCCTCCAGGATAAAATGTCTTGTAAGGCTGGTCAACTAGCAACAAGTTTCCTCAATTTTTGTTTGTCCAAAAAAGTCTTCATTTCTTCTTAAAATCTGAAGAATATTTTCAAAGGGTACGTAATTCTAATTTGGTGTGTTTTGTCAATGCTTTAAATATTATATTTCACTATCTTTTTGCTTGCATGGTTTCTAAGGAGACATCTGATATAATTTTTATTTTTGTCCTTCTCTAGGTGAGAGTTTTTCTCCACTTCTGCTTTATTGTAGAATTTTTCTCTAATTTTGATTTCCTTTGATTTGAATATTATAAGCATATGTGTAGATTTTTAGATATTTGTGTTGCATGGTGTTCTCTGAGTTTTCTAGATCTATAATTTGATGTCAAGACATTGATTTGGGAAAATTCCTAGACTTTCTTGCTTCAAATATTTCTTAAGTTCCTTTCTCTCTTTCTTCTCCTCCTAGTATTTCCATCACATGTATATTACAAATATTGTAGTTGTCTAATAATTGTTGGATATTCTATTCAATTTTTCAGTCTTTTTTCTGTTTGTTTTTATTTTAAAAGTTTTTTAATTGACATATCAAGTTCACTGATTCCTTCCTCATGCATGTCTATTCTACTAATGAGCCAGCCCATCAAAGACATTTTTTTTCTGCTAGAGTTTTGCATTTCCAATTTTTCTTTTTAGTTCATTCATATAACTCCTATCTCTCTCCTCATGTTCCCCATCTATTATTGCATGTTGTCTACTTTTTCCATTAAATCTTTAGCATATTTATCATAGTTCTTTTAAATCTCCAGTCTTATAATTCCAATATCTTTACAACATTGGTGTCTGATTCTGATGCTTACATGTTTGCTTGCAGTGTCTCTCTCAACTCTGTTCTTTTGCTTTTTAGTATGCTTCACTAAATTTTTTTTCACTCACTCAATTTTTTTGAACATGATGTACTGGGTAAAAGGAACTCAATATTTGTTTTCATGGAGATTTATGCTCCTTTGTTTCTACTAGGTAAGTTGTGATTCTCTGTGCAAGTCTGTCTATCTCTCTAGTTCTGGGCACAGCAGTTTGGCCAATAACTACAGTTCTCTGATTACCTAAGAAGAATATAATTTTCACTTTCTGTAGCTTTTACCTGTCAGGATGGAATGATGCTTATAGTGTGTCTAGATCAATGAATTCCGCTTTCTATGTTTTAGAATTTTCTGGGTTAAATGAAATGTGATCAAAAGATAGTATCTGCATTATTTCTACTTTTGGAATTTATTATTTTAGGATTTTCTGTAAAGGTAGTTTTTTAAATTAATGTTCTGTATGTACTTAATATTGTGTATCTTGTATTATTAGAGCACAAAATTTACATATATTCACAAGACCTACCTTTTCATTACTTGGTTTAGTATCTTGGTATGCTTATTATTTGTTCATTTTATCAGTTATTGACTGAGAGAAGTGAATTAACCTCTTCTGTTATTGTTGCTTTTCTGTTTACTTTTGCTACTATAATTTCTATGTTTTAGAAAACTGTGATGTTACAGCATGGGGATTCATGAATGTTATAGTTTCAGCTTGAATTACATTCTTTAGCATTTTAACCACTCATATTGTCTAATTTTATGAATTTTACTCTAATTCTGATATTTGATATTAAGATTGTGAACTTCAATTTTTTGGCATTTTCTGATATAACTTTGCCCATTCATTTACATTCTATTCTCTTCTCAATTACATTGTTTTCATATCTGTCATTTAAAGTACAGAATTTGTTTTTGCTTTGAGGTATAATCTGAAAAAAAAATACATGAATTAAACCTCTTTATATTCAATGACATTATTAGTATGACATTTTATCTTTGTTTTGAAATCTTTCATATGAAATATACTTATTAGATTTATCATTATATTTTTAAATAAAATATTTTCTGAACTTCCTTTTTACTATATACTCTTCATTAATTATCTACTCTAAATAAAAATGGAATAACCTTGAGTCCTGTTTCTCCACAACCAGAATTACTTCAGTGTTAGTTTTCTTAGTGTTTATGTTTGAATTCTTAGGTAGGTTTAAATTTCAATTATCTGACATGTTAGCTTCAAATGTTTTAGTCATAGGGCTGTTAGTGAGCTTACTCTACTTTCCACCTTTTTTTAATCATTCCCATATTTGTTAGTTGAATAATTTCTATACTATCAAACTATATAAACTTTACAATGTTTTCTGTTTCCCTTAGCAAATTGGTTTTTTCTCATTTGAGATTAGACTTGCAATTAAACATAAGTAATGCCCACTGTAAGTCCTGTTGCTCAAACTCCCCCTCACATCACTTGGTTGATTTGGAATTAGTTTTCTAAAGTAACACCTTTTCATCAATATTGCCTAAATTCTTACTCATTCAAATCTGTTTTTCTGTAGCTTTTACTTTTTAAGTAAAGTGTGTTATTCAGGGATCCTCAGAGAAACAAAACCAAATATAGTGTGTGTGTGTGTGTGTGTGTGTTGGATATGTGTATTTGAATACAGAGGATAAAGAGAAAAAGAGAGAAAGATATATTTATTTTAAATAATTGCTCATGTAATTGTGTGGACTAGAAAGCTCAAAATGTGCAGGGTAGGATGGTAGGCTGTAGACTAATGGAACAGTTCATACTTCAGTTTGAGTTTAAAGGCAGACTACTTGCAAAATTCCCTCTTTGAGGGAAGTCAGTCTTTTTCTATTAAGGCCTTCATGTGATTGCATGAGGACCACTCACTTTATGAAGAGTAATCTCCTTATTCAGAATCCACTAATTAGTAATTTCATCCCCCAAATACCTTTACTGTAACATCTAGGATAATGTTTGACCAAGTATCTGGGTACTGTAGCCTGTAAATTAACCATTATAGATGGTTCAGCTGAAAATATAATCTTTGACTTATGCATTCTCTTTTTGAGTGTGTTGTACATGTTGCTCTAGTATCTTGTGGCATAGAAAGATGAAGTATATTTGGTGTTATTCTAATTTTTCTCTTATAAATGACTTTATTTTTGTCTTTGTTCAAAAATCGTTTTCCTTAAAATCTAATGTTTTAATAGCATATTTCTAAAAATTTAATCTAACAGGTTAATTTTCTGGGGAAACAATTCACTGAGGCCTATTATGAAACTACAATGATTAAGACAGTGAAGCATTGGCATCAATAAATCAATGGGATTAAATAGAGTCAAGAATAGGATTCATGGCAAACGTAACAGTATAATGTAATCATAAATGGATAATTGATTTATTCAGTAAATTGTACCTAATTAATTGGATATTGTTATATATATATACACATATACATAAAAATACATATATATATATTTATTTATAGAGAGAGAGAGAGAGAGAGAGGAAATCTTACTCTGTCTCCCATGTTGGAGTGCAGTGGCACGACCTCAGCTCACTGCAAGCTCCGCCTCTGGGGTTCAAGTGATTCTCCTGACTCAGCCTCTTGGGTAGCTGGGACTACAGGCATGTGCCATCACGCCTGACTAATTTTTGTATTTTTAGTAGAGAAAGAGTTTCACCATGCATGTTGGCCAGGCTGGTCTGGAACTTTTGACCTCAAGTGATCCGCCCAACTTGGCCTCCCAAAGTGCTGGGATTATAGACCTGAGCCACCTCTCCTGGTCTTGTTATAAAAAATATTGATCCTTGTATCATACACAAAGATCTAACTGGACATCGATGGGATATCTGTATTTGAAAGGTAAAACAACAGAGGTATAAGATGAAAATAAAATAATATTCTCATCACCTTGATATAAGCAATAATTTCTTAAATGGAAAACCAAAACAACAACAACAAAACAACAGTAAGAATAAAGGAACTGTATTGATAAATGTTACTAAACTGTTAAGATGAAAACTTCATATTCACCAAAAGGCACCATTATGAGAGAAGTAAAGGGTTAACTCTCCAAAAGTGATAACATATTTTATGTATATATAGATACATACATATTTATATACATACATATTTTAAATATTTATTTTAAGAAATTTATTTTAAAGAATTGCTCATATAGGCTCATGTAGGCAGGTAGGCTAGGGACCTATGTATGTGTATACACACACACACACATACACACACATATTGTTATGTATAATATATATGCTACAAAAAAATCATGTCCCCCAAAATATAAAAATATCTTCAAATATTAATAAAAAGAAAGTAAGGTGAATTGAATAATATGGACAAATATTTGAAAAGGCATTCTGTGAAATATATTTTAAATTGTTAAAGGAAATTATGCAAGGGTTCTTGACATTATTTTTCATTAGTGAAATGCATAATAGAATCACAGTCTGATGCCATTATATAGTCGCCTGAATGACTTAAAATTTAAAAACATCTTATAATAGCATATGTGAATGAGATTGTAGAAAAACTGAAACTTATGCTTCGTTGAATGTGTAAATTTGGACAAAAACTTTGAAAAGCTCTTTGATATAATCAATTAAAACTGAATTTACTTCTACTTATGACTCAGAAATTACATTCCTAAGTATAAACCCAAGAGAAATGTATGTGTGTGTATACTAAAAGACAAGTACAAGGCATTTCACAGCAATCTTATTTATAATAAACTTCAAGTGGAAACTAACTAAATGATTAGAAACAGTAGAATGGATAAATTATTCTATATTCACATAATGGAATATTATATAATAACTGTGAATGAACAAACCACATCTTTATACAAGAATTTCCTACTATCCCATATTGAATGAAAGAAGCCAGGCATAGTGTAGAAAATATATAACTTATTCTATATGAAATTCACATTCAAGCAAAACTAATTTATTGTGTAGGTCACGACGGTGATTACTTTTGTTTTGCCTGAACAGTGGTTACTTTTACATAATTAGAAGAGATCTTGAGATTTCTAGGGTGTTTTTTATGTTCTCCTTCTTGATCGGGGTGCTGAATACATGGACATGTTTAATTTTAGGAAAAAATGTCAATCTGCACATATCTGACTTGTGCAGTTTCTGTATTTATGTTATATTCCAATGAACAGTTAAAAGTTTATACAATAAGATATAAAATGCTTTTTATATATATAGATTAAAGTCTTTTATTTTAAAGCAGCTTTCTTGAATTATATTACTACGTATTTGTTCAGTACTAATGTTTTTTTTTTCTTTTTTCTATTTGGGTGTTTCAATAAATTATGGAATACATACTCTTTTCCTGTTTTCTATATTTAAAATTTTCCTTCGCTGTGTCCCTGGGCAAGCAGGAATGACTCATAACTACATTAGAGAAGGGCTATAGCTGGGTTAAAGGGCATTTCAGGATTCCCAGTTGGGGATGACATCAGCCAGCCTTTTTCCAGGGATGTGGACAAGTGTGGTTCCTCCTGGGGTCCTTTGGTGGATGGAGCTGGTTACAAGACTACAGCCAAGTGACCCTGGAGTTGAATTCATAGAGGACAGGGTTGCTTTCAGTCTGGAGCTAGAACCATATTGAGTGAACTACAACCAGAGTGTAGGCCTCCCTTTTCAAAGCACCTTTCCTTAGTCTTTGGCTTCACTGGGGTTTTGCAGTCTCCAACCTGGAGCCCAAAGCTTCCACAAGGGGACTTTTTTTCTGTGGATAGTTGTCAGATCACTGTTTGTGTGGGTGAATGCCAGAGGGGTACCTCTTATTTTATCTTACTGACATGACTACATGTAACCCTTTTTGAGTGTTTTAAAGTAAGTATTAAGGGTTTTTTCAAAAGACTTCTTTCATTCTTAATGTTTTAAATCCATATATTTTCTATTTTTTTTTCTTGAACAGTTTTGCTAGAGGATTATCAGCCTTTGTTTTCAAAGAAAGGTTTTTAGGTTGATTCCATATATTGCCTATTGTGAATAGTGCTATAATAAACCTGAGAGTGCAGATGTCTTTTTGACCTACTGATTTCTAAAAAAGTTGATTTTATAGAAGGAGAGATTAGAATGGTGGTTAATAGAGGCTGGAGATAGTAAGGGGCAGGGTGAAACAAGGAAAGTTGGTCAGTGGATAAAAAGTTACAAGAAGAATAAGTTTTGGTGTTCTATTACACACTAGGGTGACTATGGCAAATAATAATGCATTATATATTTCAAGATAGATGGAAGATTTTGAATGTTGTCACGACAAAGAAATGCTAAATGTTTAAAGTGACAGATATGGTAATTGCCACAATTTGATCATTATAGTATGTATACATGAATTTAGACATTGTGGCCTAAATGTATGTACAATGATTATTTGTCAAGTATACATTTAAAATTAAATATATAAGAATACCATTTTCTCTCTAATGTTTATTTCTGGTTACTTTAATTTTTCCTTTTATTTTTCCATTTTTTTTACTTGTAATTTTCCTACTCAAATAATTGTGCAATCCACATCCAGTTTAATTACTAGAATAGATTTTGCATTTGTTTTTCTTTTAAGATATAAAATTGCCTTCCTGCCTTGGTCTAAAAGTATTTGAAATGACAAAAATACCGGACTCTAGATATTTTCTGGGACTAAAAGGAAAAATAAACTCATAAGTTGCTATACTGCCATTATCTATATTAATAATCTAAATATAATTTCAAAGTGTTTGGGAATATTTTTTATTAAACTCCAATAGAATTTTAATATGTTATGATTGTCTTTCAAAATATTACAAGAATAAAAAGGCAAATAATCTATTGTTTATGTAGCAAAAGAACAAAAGAAAATATCAAAGAAATAAAATAAATTAAAAACATCAAACAAGATGACAGGAGTAGGATCAAACCTATTAATTACAATAAATTGTATAAATGCATTGGATTCCCAAAAATAAGTGTCAAAAATAACTCATATTTGATTATAAAAGTTACAAAATAATAGTCCTATAATAAAAGAAGACCTACAATAAAAACTTCTAAAACAAAATAAAATGTAAATTTGACAGTTTTTAAACCTATAAGAGAAAAAAATCTCACAAACAGCCTAAAACTTTGAAGTTGTGTGAAAGCACATAACTCGTTTCCCCAGATAACACTACTCCAAGTAAAACAATATCTTATTAATGACTCAATGGCTAATGGCTTCTGCTTCTACATGCTATGCAGAAAGACATTCAGCTCACTGCAAAATCTCAAATCCCTTAACCTTTTGTGTTTTCTGGAGTACCTAGAGTGAATTTCACACATGCTCACAAGAAATTCCCCTACTTTCGATGTTTCCAGTTATTCTACCTTCCACTGGGGATCTACTGGACACTGTTGTGTTTGTAAAAACAGTTATTCATCACGGGGCTTATACTGGTATAGCAATTATAATAATCTAGATATGTTACAATAACAACTGACTTCAACATTTCAGTTCTTTAAACCATACAGGCATATTTCTATTTCATACTATGTACCCACAGTGGATCACTTAGGGATCCAGGATGGCAGAAACTTCATTACAAGAGCCACTTTCACATCCATCATAGCAGGAGGAAGGAATTGTAGAAATTATGCATTGGCTCATAAAGTTTTAACTAAGAAATAATATAAGCCATTTTTATCCACAGTTTCTTGGCCAAAACAAGTATAATTGTTTTATCTAACTTAATAAGTGGAGAGAATGTTGAATTATTTGAGGAAGAATTATATTGGAATATGTGTATATAGTCCTTATGACTACCATGACCAGATATTACTCTCTCCTGCAATAGTTGAAGCACTAGAATCATTGAAGCACTAGAATCATTGAAGCACTGAGGTGCATAGTGTTTTGTTGAAATAAATATTAAATGCCTAATTTCTCTTTTGTCTTATGTTTACCTTCACTTAGAGATATTCCAAACAGTAATTCTTTATCTCAAAGCCTTATGGAACCCTTGTTTTCCATTACAGTCAGAAACATATTCAGTGGGGACTGGGCTGTATAGGCAGTAGATATTCAGTACATACATACTGACTGAGTGAATGCTTAAAATAAATCTGAGAGATGATTCTCATGCAGCACTGATATGGCTCACTTTCAGATGACTAGGGCTGTCTTATGGTGTCAAGCTCATTTTACTTATATCACCTGGATGAGTTTCTAGAAATCTCTTAATAACTCAGGCAAATGATCATCTGAGTCCTAATTATCAATTAATTAGGTATATATAAATCAATGTGAATGCCCTTAGGATTAAGCTGGGACTGAATGCTTATCAGATAATATAAAATTTAATCTTAATCAATAAAACAAAATAGCATAATTTTATATTGACAAAAAGTACTATCTATGCCTAACTATTTTGCATAATAAAAGCATCAAAATAGATGAAAGAAAACCTATTGGAAGTTCATGCAGAAGACCTGGAAAAAACTCTAAAATTATATTTGAGATCCCTGGCAAAGTCATGTACTGATATTTTCTTCCCACAGGTACAAATGATGCTAATATAAATGAGCATGATTATTAATTGTCTTAATTTGGATTCCCACAAAAGCAGACACCTAGGACAAGCTTGCATGAAGATAATTTGAAAGTGGTATCTCAGGAAGCAAAAATTAGAAAAGTGAGAGAAGGGACAGAAAAAATTCAGTAGAGAGTGTGCACTTTGGAAACTGTGACTCAATCCCACTGGAGACCCTCTGAAGAACCACACAAAGTGTGTCTCAAAATAATCCTATGAAGGAGTGAGAATGCTGAGCTATTTATCTACCATACTGCATTAGGCGAAGATTACTCTAGGGGGTTGAATTTCCAGCAGCACTGAACTGTCTTGCAAGTGGTCTTACCAGGCTACTGAAATGCCAGAGAAAGTCTCCAGTTAGAGAAACCGAAAGACAAAGGCACTCGAGGTGGAAAGCTGTCAGCTCAGATGAGCCAAGGGCATATGGGATAGCACATCAATGATAAGTATTATATTAACCTGAGTCTGGCAGAAATTACACTGCTGCTTCCTGAGAAATAAGGTGCGTATTTTCTTTTTTATTATTTATCAAACTTTAAGTTCTGGGATACATGCTCAGAATGTGCAGGTTTGTTACATAGGTACATGTGACATGGTGGTTTGCTGCACTCATCAACTAATCATCTAGGTTTTAAGCCCCACATGCATTAGGTATTTGTCCTAATGTTCTCCCTCCCCTTGCCCCCCACCCCCAGATAGGCCCCAGTGCGTGATGTTGTTCCCCTCCGTGTGTCCACGTGTTCTCATCGTTCAACTCCCACTTATGAGTGAGAATATGCAGTATTTGATTTTCTGTTCCTATGTTAGTTTTCTGAGAATGATGGTTTCCTGCTTCATATTTTCATTGAAGGAAAATTAACAACATTGGAATATCCCTTGCTTAAATTACTTGGATAAACATAAACTGTATTTACTTGCTATTTTTGATTTGTACATATCCATAGTTAGATTAGGTAAGAAACAAACTAAACAAAAAAAAAAAACAATAATAGAACACACTCTCACAATAGTATTTTGATATGTATAAAGTAACTCAGATGTAAGTATGCCTCTCTGTACATCAGTCTTCTGTTTACAAAATGCCTGTTTTAAGACTTAGAATCATTTGTACTGTTTAAAGTTACCACTATCAGACTGAAAGCTTGAAGCATTAAGAAAAATTTGCATACTGATTTGGCATATCATTTTAACATGCAAAAGGCATGTGAAACACCTTTACTAATTTGTTTTTACATTCTGAAATTACTGTCTTATTGAGACAAAATAATCAGATAGATAAGCACATTGCATATCAAATTTAATATACTAATTTTAAACAATTTAAGCCAGTGATTCTCAAACTATCCCATTAATTCCCACATATTTAACACACCTGGTCCCCAGTAACTAAATATCAGTGATGCCTCCTACTCATTATGACCACACAGCACTTTATTAACAAAATAAGAATTTCAACAAAGTGCCATTATAAAAAGAAACTATAAATAATTTCTGGAGCTGAAAACTAAAATAACTAAATAAATAATAGAAAAATTTAGTAGAGGATTTCAATAGCAGATTTGGGCAATCAGAAAAAGAATCAGCTAAACTGAAGACAGGATAATAAATACATTTACATTTGAGAAGCAGAAAGCAAAAAAGAATAAAAAAGTGAGCATAGCTTAAGGGATTTATGGAACACCATCATGTTAACCAATATACATATTATAGAAATCTCAGAAGGAGAAGAGTTAAAGAACCACCAATATTGTTAAATACTGACCCAAACTTCCCAAATGTGATGGAAAACATTGATCTACAAATCCAAGGAGTGCTAGAAACTCCAAGTAAGGTAAACCCAGAGATCTACACTGAGACATATTTTAAATAATTAAACAGATAAAAGACAAAGACAAAATCTTGAAACCAAAAAGAAAGCAGTGACTCATAGTAGGTAAGTGGTTCTTAATAAAGTGATCAGCATAATTTGAAGAATAAACCTAGAAGGCCAGAATACGGTGGTTGATAGATTTAAAGTGCTGAAAGGAAAACAAAAGTACCTGTCAACTAAGAATTCTGTATGTTGCAAAGCTATCCTTCAAAAATCAGGGGGAAATTAAGACACTCCCTGATAAATGAAAGCTGAAGAAGCTTATTTGCAGTAAAGGACATGTCCAACAAAAAAATGTTAAAGGGAGCCCTGCAGGTTCAATAAAGGGACACTAGAAAGTGGCATATGAACATACAAAGATTATAGATAAGAGCAAAGAAATGGGAAATTATAAAAAAGAGTATTATTGTAATTTTGGTTTATAAATTTTTATTTTCTGTAGATTTTAAGAGAAGTATACATACAAATAATTATAATTTTATGTTAATGGGTACACAATGTACAAAGATGTATTATTTTGCCATCAGTAACATATAGTGGAGAGGGTATAAATCTATACAGGATGAGAGCTTTTGTATGCAATTAAAGTTAAGTTGGTATCAATTCAAATTACGTTGACATAACTTTAGAATTTTAACTGAAATACCTATGGAAACAACAACGAAAATATCTATACACTATAGCCTAAAGCAAATGAGAAGGGAATCAACATGTGTTACTTTCAGAAATTAACCACATGCAAAATGCAATAAAAGAGGAAATTGAGGGCAAAAAAAGAGCTACAACTAATAGAGAAAAAAATGATAAAATGGCAATAAGTCATTTCTTATTAATTACTTTAAATGTAAATTAACTAAACTCTACTATCAAAATATATAGATTGGCATAATGAATAAAAAACATGATCCAACCCTATGCTATTTACACAAGTCTCGATATATACGTAAAGATGCAAATTGGTTAAAAATATAATACTTGGAAATAAACTTAGCCAAGGAGAAAAACGACTACACTGAAAACTATAAAACTTTATGGAAAAACTTAAAGATGACACAAATAAATGAAAAGGCACTCTATGTGTACCAGATGTATAAAGAAGAGTTGATACCAATTATACTGAAACTGCTTGAAAAAGAAAGGAAAATGGACTCTTTCATAACTCATTCTACAAAACCAGTATCATCCTGATACCAAAATCTAGCAAAGACACAGAAAACAACAACAACAAAAAAAACTACAGGCCAGTATTCCTGACCAACATAGACACAAAAATCCTCAACAAAATACTAGCAAACTGAATCCAGCAGCACATCAAAAAGTTAATTCACCACGATTAATTGGGTTTTATTTTGGGGGTGCAAAAATGGATCAATTTATGCAAATCAATAAATGTGATTCTCCACATAAATCGAATTAAAAACAAAAAACATATAATCATCTCAATAGATGTAGAAAAAGCATTTAATAAAATTCACGTACTGGAAGACTTAATATTGTCAAGATGTCAGCACTACTCAAAATGGTGTACAGATTCAATGCAAACTCTATTAATGTCCAATGACATTATTTTTGAGAAATAGAAAACCCATTTTAAAATTTATATGGAATATCAAGGGAACCTAAATGGGCAAAAAAAATTAAATGACAAACAAAGTTGGAGGGTTCACACTTCCTAATTTCAAAACTCACTACTACTACTATGTTGCAATAATCAATGTAATACCGGCATTACAGTATTGCATTGTACAGTCCAATACATGAATAAAATATAATAGAGAGCTAAGAAAAAAAAACTCATATATACGTTGCTATGGTTTGAATGTTTGGCCCCTCCAAGACTCATGTTGAAATTTATTTTGCCATTGTAAGAATATTAAGTGGTAGGAATTTTAAGAGATAATTAGGCCATAAGAATGCTTCCTTCATCAAAGGATTAATGTAATTACTGTATGAGTGGGTCCCTTATGAAATGATTAATTTGGCCCCCTTTTATCTCTCTCACCCTCTCTTTAACCTTCCACCATGGGATGACATAGCAAGATGGCCATCTCAAGATGCCAGGCTCTCAATATTGAACTTCGCAGCATTCAGAACTCTGAGCCAACAAATTTCTGTTCATTATAAATTATTCAGTCTATGATATTCTATCATAGCAGCAAAACCAGACTAAGGCATATGGTCATATAATTTTCACGAGTATGTCATTCAAGGGGAAAAGGGATAGTTTCTCCAACAAATTGCTATTTAAAAACTGGATTTATATATGCAATAGAATAAAATTTGACCCTTACCTCAGGTCACGTACAAAAGTTAAGTCAATATAAATCAAATGCTTAAACATTGAACTAAAACTAAAGAACTTTTAGAAGAGAGGTTAAGAGAACATCATAACATTGGATTTAGCAAGGATTTCTTAGGAAACTAGGTTACAATGATAGACAAAATGGACTTCATCAAAGTTAAAAATTGTGTATCAAACAGAACTATAAATAGAGTGAAAAGACAACCCAAAATATGGGAGAAAATATTTGCTAATCATATATCTGATATAGGATTATATCTATAATATATAAAGAGCTCCTATAACTCAACAAGCAAAACCAAACAACTCAGATAGAACAGACTTGAATAGACATTTCTACAAATAAGATATAGGAATCACTGATAAGCACATGAAAAGGTTTTGAGCATCGGCAATCAGTAGGGAAATAAAAATCAATACCATGAGATACTACTGCACCCCCATTATGATGTTTATTATAAAACAAACAAACAAACAGAAAATACCAAGTGTTGGCATACATATGCAGATATTGAAGACATTGTGTATGCTGCTGGGAATGTAAAATGGTGCAGCCACTGTGGAAAACAGCAGGATGGGTCTGCAAAAAATAAAACATAGGTTTACCATATAATTCAGCAATTCCGCTTCTGGGCATATAACTAAATGAATTGAAAGTGGGGACTTGAACAGATATTTGTACAGCAATTTTCATTACATTATTATTTACAATAGCCAAAGATGGAAACAACCCAAGGGCCTATCAACAGATGAATAAAATGTGGTATATACACACAATGGAATATTATACAAAAAGGAAGAAAACTCTGACATGTGTTACACTGAAAACATTATAATAAATGAAAGAGGCCAGCCATTATTTCTCAAAGTCCTAAAGACAGAAATGCCATTTGACCCAGCAATCTCATTACTTAGTATATACCCAAAGAAATGTAAATCATTCTATTATAAAGACACATGCATGCATATGTTCATTGCAGCACTATTCACAATAGCAAAGGCATGGAATTAGCCTAAATGCCCATCAATGATAGACTTGATAAAGAAAATGTGGTACATATACAACATGGAACACTATGCAGCCATAAAAATGAATAAGATCATGCCCTTTGCAGGGACATAGATGCAGCTGGAAGCCCTTATCCATAGCAAACTAATGCAGGAACCAAAAAAAAAAAAATACTACATGTTATCACTTATAAGTGGGAGCTAAATGATGAGAACACATAGACATATAGAGGGGAACAAAACACACTGGATTCTATTGGAGGGTAGAGCGTGGGAGAAGAAAGAGGATCAGGAAAAATAACTAATAGGCAATAGGATTAACAGCTGGGTGATGAAATAATCCATACAACAAACCCCCATGACACAAATTTACCTATGTAACAAAGCACATGTACCCCTGAACTTTAAATAAAAGTTAAAAAAGAAAGAAGCCAGGCAAGAAAGGGTAAATATTGTATAATTCTACTTACATGAGGTAAACAGAATTGTCAACTTCATAGAGACAGAAAGCAAAATATTGATTATTATAGCAACAGGAAGAAATAGAGAATTATTGTTTAATTGGTACAGAGCTTCAGTTTAGGATCGTGAAAAACTTTTAGAAGTGAATGTGCTGATGTTTATACAATAATATAGATGTATTTAGTTCCACTAAATTATGTACTTAAAACTGGTTAAAATGGCAAATTTTTAATGCATATTTTAACATACTAAATAACAGGATTACAAAGAAAGCATTTATATTGAAAAAAATAAGTGAAGTGGAAAATGTTAATGTAGTAAGTTTTATATATATATGTAATTAGGTCATAATATTAAATATGTAAAAATATATATAAATAGAAAAATTACCGTAAGAATACAAGCTGCCATATCAAAAATGGTACCTGACCGTTCTGTCTTCTAATTTTTACTTTCTTTTTGAAATTCATATTATCACTAAGCTATTGCATTTACTCACTCTTGACTATTAGCTTTGTGAGAACAGTTTCTAATGTCTTCACCATTGTATCCATGGCACCAGCAGGATGATTGACATAGTAAGTAATTTTTGAATGGATGAAATATTACTTCATTTATTTACAAAACAAACTTTTTTTACTTAGTCACAACATTACGTACTCATATTTTAAATACACACAACGTAAAAAGCCATGTCAAGGAGTGACTATAATATAATCACTGAGAGTTACAGCTGTTAAAATTTCAGGATATGGAAATTACAATTATCCTACACATAATATTTTATAAATTATTCATTTTGCCTAACAATTTTTGTTCACAGATTTCCATGTAAAAATACAGATTTAAAAACTATATTATTGTCTGAACAGTATTCCATATTATAGATGTAACAATATTTTTCTGACAACTCCCATATTTTATTTTTGTTTATGCTATTTTTCTGTTACAAATATGGAGAAACTAGCAACAGCAGAAAACTTTTTCTACAACTAAGGAGCATGTGGGATAAATAATATCAGTCTACGTAAGCTGGCATCAAGTAATTGGGGCCTTTCATTAGCACCTGTAGTCACAGAAGAACACAGCTAATACTAACAATATGACTCTGAATCAGGAAGGCAAGAGAAAAGAAATACCCAGACCTCTATTTCCTCTCACATTTTGGTATCCTACAAGTGCCTAATATATGAAATCTAACCAGCAAGGAAGCCTAGGTGATAATCTAGAATCAGCATCTCAGGGCAAAAAGTAAAACAGAGAAGGCTGGATAATGGATTTGATCAAGCCAATAGAAAATAACCCATATAGGTTTTTTTTTTTCTTTTATGCTTAATATCCATTGTTCCTTTTCATTCAGTTGAAGAAACTCATCTCACAGGGGAAAAACACATTACAGGCTTGTCTCAATTCAGTCATCTTTCCACCTGTAACCTACTTTGTAATGTTAGTCACCACCAATAGCAAATGGTAATAGGAAATGAGGGTAATGATTAATGTAACATATACTTGGCTACTATAGTCATCACCTATGTAGCTGATTGAGGCTTAAGTTGAAAATGATAACTTCTTTCTTCTGCTACTTATTCCTAGTTCTCTTTACTTTCTGATGATACATCCTCTGAATGGATGTCTTTACCTTGGAGGGTGTTAAAACTTCATTTCCAAAGAATCTGAATCTAGTAATCCTGCTAATTGAGTTGCTGCAAGTTTTGTTTTTATTAGAACAGGGGTTATCTTTATTATAGGAAAATCAAGTGCTAAAAGGAACCCCAATGAAGCTATTGGGCTCCAGTTATTGATCTAGAGCATGTCTATAGCAGCAAAAAAAATTTATCTTTAGTAATCTAGAAGAGTTAACACAAACATTACAGTAACTCCTTTTTTATTGTTTCACATAAGTGGCATGAGGAGCCCAAATGAGCTAAAGTTTATTTTAACTACCAAGTTAATGGAATCATTTGCTGTGTTTCCAGATCAAAATATTTCTCCCTTGGATACTAGAACATGCAAGCACACCAAACCCATGGTTAAAAGGCACAAACAAAGATTCTCTAAGTCAATTATTACTTACAGTAATATTATAATATAATAATATTATAGTGGAAATAATATAATAGTGGAAAGATCTACTCCTACCCTTACTATTTCATTAGTGGACCCATATATTATAGCATCGTATATCATTTCTTGATTTAAAGTATATACTACCACTGGCTATACTGTACCCCAAATATTTAAACGTGTGGCTTTCTAGATGTTGACATAACCATTTCTTGAGTTTGATTTTGCATTGTACTGTTATGTCAGGCCACCTCCTTCTGGGGGATGAGGTATGTATGTAGTCACATCAATAAGTTTAATAGGCATGAGCTCAAATGATTCAGCCCTCAAGGTTCAGCCTCAAAATAAACATAATGGACAAGAGGGATCGTGTAATGGATTTGAGTGGAGGTTATTAAATAGAGAACAGTCAGGACACTTCACTTATCATGAAGTCTCAAAAAGCCGAAAAGACAGAGATGGTTCAGGAATAACAAAAAGTAACCATGCTTGCTGGAAGTAACATGTTGGTGATATAAATGAGAGGAGAAATTACATTGAAAGAAGCCCTGCTTTACCCATCTCAGTAGACTTAGGAGCAGGGGAAGCTAAATAAATTTTATGGCATAAGTGTAATCTACCTTGTCCTGAAATATGTTCTTTGCCTCTGACCCACAAAATCTACCTGCAAATATATAGTCTAGGAAGGATTTATCACATTTAAAGAAGAATAGTAATAAAAAGTGAACCAACACAGGGCTTATTAAAATATATTATATTGAAAAGCAGAGGAAAGGAGCAGAAAAAATTAATGGCAAGTAAATATTTACCACCAAGAAAAGGTCTTAATGGAGCAAATGAAAATAATTTTAAAAATTATCATTACTTAAAAAATATAATAAAGCAATTACCTAATGCAAAGTTTTGAGACCATAGAAAATTGACATTTTGATACCAATAGGATGTGGATGTATACTAAAAAGGTAATTAAGTTAAATATATATATATTATATTAGAGAGAAAATGATAGATATGTGACACGAGCAACAGAAAACACAACATATGTATTTTTCAATTCCCCAATGAAGAAAATCAAAATAATGGACCAAAACAATGATTAGAAGATAACACTTAATTTAAAAATACGGAAATAAGAAGATAGAATCTAAAAATCTATGAGACAGAAAAAAGTCAGAACAATCAACATGAAGAAGTAGTCAATATAATTATCTCCATTTTAAATATAAAGGAATTAAATTTCACAAGGTTACATACAGAGTAAATAGAATAACCTGAATTCAAACAGAGCATATATTTGATTTCATAGACCAGCCTCTCATAGAAACTTCTCCTTCAGCCTTTTAAACCCACAGGATTGGCTCTGGGGCTCTGCTGGGTAGCAATTTTACTCTAAGCAGAAATTGAGACATGACCCTGATCAGATAAAAAATGTATCAGGTATATGTCAAAAAACTATAACTTCTATGCATACACTGATTGTTCTATAAATACAAAATGGTTAAATTAACAGTGCAAAGAGTTTTAAAAGTGAATGGATAAGCTGTTTGTGAATTTTGGAATAAATTCATGAAAATCATAAAGATATTAAATAAGTAAAATATTCAGGAAAGAAACCACAATTTTTGTCACTTATTTTTTAAAAGTGCTATTACATATACTGTAGTGACTATGAAAATGTAACTTTTATATATTATAAGCATGCATTTTAGCAAATACTAGAGTACTTTAGCCATTTTATTGTGAAAAACAATTCCCTCAAAATTAAAAAGAAAATATTATTCATTATTTCACCACCTTAGTATAATACTTAAGATAATATTGTAAGCATAATATTTAATTACAATGTTTACTTTTAGACCAAGAAGACCTGAAGTATCACCCAAGAAACAAAAGAAGTAAGTCACTTGGACACAAGATAGATTGATGACAAAGTAATTTCTATGATCATTAATGAATACTAGGAATATTAGTCTTTAATTTCTCTTTACAAAATTCTCTAAAACTGAATCTATTAGCTTCAATCCTGTGGTAATTGATTCTTTTGGGTTAGCATAGATGCATTACCTGGCTTTTAGTAATCCACTTTATCATTGTATCTAAAGAGCTGCAAGTATCACGCCAGGAATAGATTAAAGATAAATGGGAGAAGCGCAGGAGGATGCTGATGACTAACTTCTGGACAATGCCATAGAAAAAATTACAAAAAAAGTGTTTCTTTATGTTTAATGTGCTCCTAATAAATTATCTAGCTTGTTAATGGAAAATAATTAAGTTATGAATTGGTAGTCTACATAAAGCAGATTTACCTCCCTAATGTGGATGGGCCTCTTCCAAACAGTTGAAGGCCTGAATAGAACATAAAAGCTGAATAAAGGAAAACTCCTCCTGCCTGACTGCCTTTAAGCTGGAACATTGTTTTTTATGCCTTTGGATGCAAACTGAAACACTGGCTCTTCCTGGGTCTTGAGCTTGCCAAGCTTCCTGTTAAAGGTACTTCATTGGCTCTCTGGAGTCGACAGTCTGCCAACTGCAGTACAGATCTTGGGATGTGACAGTCCCCATAATTATGTAAGCCAAATTTTTGTAATAAATATTACTCTGTCTTCTGTCTTCCCTCTCTCTCTCTCTCTCTCTCTCTCACACACACACACACACACACACACACATAACACAAACACACACTCTTTCTCTCTCCCCCCCTTTCTTGCTCTATCAATTACCCTATGGCTTCTCTTTCTCCAGAGAACTCTAATACACACATCATAATCATAGAGCCCACATAAAAGAATAAGCAGATCATATATCATATGTGAATATTAAAACTATTTGTGCTAAATCTGGAATTTCTAAGAGCAAGAAGGAAGGAAAATAAAATGCTTATTTTGAAACTAAAATCCTTAAATAATGGTAATATCACTGGTAATTAAAAATTTTGCTTGTACATTTTGGAACTACTTTAAGGCTATCAGGGACAGAAATATGTGCAACATTCTACTGTATTTTTTACAAAGAAAAATTTGACCATAGATGCATCAGATCCAGGCAGAACATTTCAAATATCAAACAAATATCTTGTGAGTCTTAATAATCACTCCAAAAAAGTTCATCACTTAATTAAAAAGTTGCCAAAAGCTAATACTCATGTTTTCATTTTAATGTGAAAAATTTATAATATATTGAAATGTCTAATTTTGAAGTTCTTTTCATCCTATAGGACTGCCATATGCAGTAGGTGAAATACTTCATAATGAGGCCCTAGGGATTTTTTTGGTAACAACACCCAAGAAGGTACTACAGAGAGATGTTTCATAATAAAGTCTGCATAGAGGTTGAAGAAGAATTAGCTAATTCACTGTCTCTACTATGTATTTGTGCTTATTTAAAAATTATTTGGAGGGACTTCAAGAGGGCTGACTGGAGGCATCTGATATTCAGCACCTCTACAAAAATGAACCAAAATAGGAATTTGATAATCACACTACAAATAGATCATCTAAAAAGGAAAACTGGAATTCAACATAGAAGTGACAAAAAAAAAAAAAAAAACACTTAAGGCAACAACGGAAATGAAAATGAGGCAACCTGCTTGACCAGGATTATACAAGATTCCAGAGAAACTGGGTGAGCGAGATACCCTCAGTGATCCACATCCTCAACACAAACTACAGCAATTCTATCCATGAGACAGCCCCCTAACTGTCACAGACCCTGAGACCAACATTGGGAGCTGCCTGGACACTGGTTGAAGGCATTACTCTAGAGAGTGACTCACAGGGTCCCACATACCCCTGAACCTTAAGCAGCTACTGCAAAGCCACACAGAACTCCATCCTTCCTTGGGGCACAACAGTCTTTCAATCTCCACATTCCTGCAGCCCCATTGACATCCCCTACCTGCAGGCACCACTGCTACTGGCTGCTACCACCAGGTCCAAAGTGCAAGCCATTAGCAGTTTGAATGTCCTCAGCAGCCGGGCCATCACGCATTTATATCACCCTGAAGACAGACAATCCCACCTGCAACCGCCACCTGGGGCTAAAGTGGTGTGCTTCCCAGCTACCTGTCTATGGCTGGTGGAAATAAATGCAACCCTACCCTCCTCAGCATCTGGGCCACAGCACTGGCACTGTCATCCCCACAGGAGCATTCCACCATGGATGCAGAAGTAACTCCACTCCTGCCTACTACAGATAGCACCTGCATGCACAACTGGAAGGCCTGCAAACAGACCCTCCCAGTGTAGCATTACCTACCCCACTGCCCAAGGCCTGGGAATTTCCCTGACTTATATTCCACCATTGACACCTACATTCCTACCAGGGGCCTGAGGATGGGCATACCTATCTACCACTACCACCACAGCTGCCACAAAATCACATGTGGCACCTGCAATAGGAGGAACTGGAGTGCCCAGCCAATTGCAGTTACTGCCAACACCAGCATGAACCACATGGGAGCCAGAAGGTTGTCCCACCTTCTGTCATTGCTTACATCACACCTACTGTCATTGCTTATGTCACACCTGCTGTCCATGGGCCTGAGGAGTAACCCACCTGCCTGGGTCACTTTTGCCACTGCTAGAACTTGCAAAATTCAACTGGGGATTCAAGAGTCAGCCTGTGTCAATCTGCTAACACCAGTGCAAGAGTATAATGCCCTGGAACCCAAAGACAGGTATGCTTGACCTGATGTTGCCACTGCTAAGTCCCAAAGACTGGAAGTGGCATTGCCATTCCCAGAAAAAAAAAATTACTACAACCTCCAATAACAACCTCCAATAATTTCCATATAAGGAAATTATACCGAGATTTAATAGAAGAGTTCTTATCTCAGAGAATTAAGAATCACAAATTGGTGATTGTCTTAATAAAAGGAAGAAAGATATTTTAGACATACTATAGTCAAAATCTCTTATTTACAAATGAGAAAACAATTATACTCTTCTTTTTTGTAGAGTAATTTTTATGCTGTCTTGATTTTCCTCATCAGATAATATTTGACATAAATAAGTTTAAAAGAGCTATTGGTAAATAACACCTGTACAATAATAGAGTTAAAATCTATATATATTTGGTTATTTCTTTTTTATATAAATTTATTGTTTTATAACTGTATTTATTTGAAAATTGCTACTAGTTAATGTTATTTGTATCAGTATTGGCTTTGTGGTATACATTTTGTTAAAAAATCACCTTTGTGTCAGAAAGATGTCAAACTAGAAAGCTCTAGGCCCTTATTTCCCCACAGAAACATCAAGGAGGCAGAAGTAGATTGAGTAAAATTGATTTGTGAGAATTCCAAAAAGCATTCACATTCAAGGGTAGACATCAACTAAGCAAATACCCAATCAAGAAAAAGACACACTCAAAATGGTAAAAAAAAAGAAAAGAAAAAAAGAAGAAAGAAGGAAAGAAAGAGAGAAAGAAAGAAAGGAAAGAAAGAAAGAAAGAAAGAAAGAAAGAAAGAAAGAAAGAAAGAAAGAAAAGAAAGAAAAGAAAGAAAAGAAAGGAAAGAAAGAAAGAAAGAAAAAGAAAGAAAGAAAGAAAAGAAAGAAAAAGAAAGAAAGAAAGAAAAGAAAGGAAAGAAAGAAAGAAAGAAAGAAAGAAAGAAAGAAAGAAAGAAAGAAAGAAAGAAAGAAAGAAAGAAAGAAAAAGAAATGTGGTGTAGCTTGTTTGGGAGGAAGCTACTCAATGTCCAGCTCCTATATCAGGACAGAAGATAATTAGTATAACTTATTTCATCTGAGACCCTCCCAGGGGATGGGTTTCTGTCTCACTTGACTCAGACCTCAGCAGAAGCTATAGCATAACTTTTATATCAGATTGGAGGCTGATGAAAGCAGCAGAGGGACTACAGACCCATGCGTACATGAAAGCAACAGATTATGAGCAGGAGAATACAACATAATATTTTAAGACCTTGAGAAAAAATAAGAGTGAGACTCCTAGGGAAAAAAGGATGAGTGAAAGCAGCTGTGTACATGGTGAAATAAGAACATGCTCAAACCTAGGAAAAATGCATATGTAGATAAGGCCTGAGAACACCTTATGCTTTTAAATCACTCAGTTTAACGAAGGTATTTCCTTGCATACAGCCAGTCTTCAACGGCAGGGAGAGGTGGCTGTTTTCCGTTAATGCCGATTTTTCAACCAAAAATAATGGAGACACGTAGAGAAACAAGGAATTGTGGTCCTTTCAAAGGACCAAAATAAATCTTTAGAAACTGAAAAGAAACATAGGCTATGGATTTATTAGATAAGTATTTTTCAATATTCCTAAATATTCTCAAATAAACTAAAATTTAAAAAATTTAAAAACGGAAATTTTCAATTTAAAAAATGGAAAGATAAATAAGTATGGAAAACAATATATAAACAAAATAGGAATATTCACAAACAGGTAGAAAGAGCAATACAAAATAGATATTCTGGATCTGAAAAATTTAAAAACAATGAATTTAAAAATTTACTAGGGGGTTCAAGAGCAGTCTCACACAGAAGAAAGAGTCATTGAATTTGAAGCAGGGTAATTTGAAATTATCAAGTTTGAGGAGTGGAGCAAAAACAGAAAGAAATAAAGAACAGTCAGCAGAACCTAAGATCTTGTTGGGACACCATCAAGTGGACCAATGTGTACATTTTCAAAGTCCTAGAACGAGACAAGAAGAAAGCAGATAATTTTCTCAAAATAGCAAAATACTTCCCAAATTTGAAGACAGATATGGATATACAAATATGAGACATTCAGCAAACACCAAGCTGATGCAAGAGACCCACATGAAAACACATAATCTAACTGTTGAAAGTCAAAGATAAAGAATCACAAACGCAGCAAGAGGAAAGCAACACATCACATATAAGGTGTCAATAACATTATCAATGAATTTTTCAGCAGAAAGATTTGAGGCCAAAAGGCACTGGGGTGATATATTTAAAGTGCTGAAGGGAAAAATATAAAGCAGTCAACTAAAATTTCAACATTTAGCTAAATGTCTTTCAAAAATGAGGAAAAATATTAATATTATCAGATGAGGAAAAACTGAAGAAGTTTATTACCAGGTGACCTCTACTACAATAATAAAAGACTCTATAAAGTAACTTGGTGCCAAACAAAACTATAAAGGTCTTTGATAAAGGCAAATATCTGAAGAAATATATAAATTAATTTTATTGTAAATTTGGTTAATAACTCTTCTTATTTCTTTACAAGATTTAAAAGACAAAATTATAAAAAATACAAATCTACATTAATGAGCACAAAATAAAGATGACATTTGTGACATCAATAACATAAAGTTGACGTAATGGGGTGAGAAATAAAGAAGTAGATCTTTCATATGTAGTTGAAGTTACCATTTAACATGTACTCCTATAAGTTTAAGATGTCATGTGTAATCCCATTAATAACTAAAAAGGATATGTCTATAGAATATATGCAAAAGACAAAGAAAGAAATCAAAATGTCCCACTAAAAAAACACAAGACAAAAGAAGGCAGCGGGTGTATAAATTAGGAAAATAATGTTATAAGACATATCAAAAAAATACAAACTGGCAATAATAAATTCTCTCCATCAGTAACTACTTTAAATGTAAAGGGCTTAAACTTCCCAACAAAATAAAAAGTATTAGAAGAAAGGATTAAAAAATAGGACCCAACTATGTGTGTACAAGAAATTCACTTTAGACATAAAAACATACATAGCTTGAATGTAAAATTTGGAATAAGATATTTCATGGAAATAGTAACTAGCCCTAAGATAGCAGTGTGATGACTCTAGAAATATTACACACAATAGATTTAAGAAAAAAAAGTTTACAAGACAGAAAAAGACATTATATAATTATAAAAGTAATAATTCATTAAGAAAATATAACAATTATAAATATGCGTGCACCAAACATCAGAGCTCCTAAATATATGAATTAAAACACTGACAGGTTGAAAGGAGAAATAGACAGTGCTACTATAATAGTAGTAGGTTTCAATACTCTCTGCTGTGATGGTTAATATTGCATGTCAATGGGGACAGTGTTTTTGGATGAGATTAACATTTAAATTAGTGAACCCTGAGTAAGTAGATTGCTCTCCATAATGTGAGTGGGCCTTACTCAATCAATGGCAGGCCTGAATAGAACCAAAAGATGGGCTTCCTGAGCAAAAGAAAATTTATTCAGCAGACTGCCTTTGAACTTCATCTACATCATCAGCTTTCCTGGGTCTCTGAAAACAACAAAGCCATCCAAATTACAAAGAAAGAAGTAAAATTTTCAGTTTGCAGATGACAAGATCTTACATATAGATAATCTTAAGACTTTTCAAAAGTGTTAATTAATAGAATTAATTTAGTAAAGTTATAGAATATAAAGTCAACATGAAAATAACAGTTTGGTTTTCACACACTAGCAATCAATAACCAGAAAAGAGAATTAAAACAATTTTATTGCAATGATATCAAAAATACTTAAAGATAAAATTTTTGAAGTTATAAGATATATAATAAAAAGTAAAAAAAATACTATAATGAATTAAAGAGGACTCCAATAAATGAAAATATATTCCATTTTCATGGACTGGAAGACGTAACATTGTAAAGTTGTCAATTCATCCAAAATGATGTATAAATTTAATGCAATCTCTCTCATAATCTCAATAATGTTTTTTTCAGATAAAGAAAAAATCCATCTGAAAATTTATAGGGAATCTCAAAGGGTCCTCAATAGCCAAAATAATTTTGACAAAAAAGAACTTTGAAAGTTTCATACTTATTGCTTTTAAAACATACTAAGAAGCCAGAATTACCAAAACATTGTGGTACTGGCATGAAGATAGACATACAGAACAATTTAATAGAAAACAAGCACATAAAATACTCTCACATCTATAGCCAAATGATTTTCCCATAGGAGTTCCAAGATCATTCAGTAGGGAAAGGACAGTCTTTTCAATGAATGGTATTGGATAAATAAATATTCATATGCAAAATGATCAAATAGATTTCTAATCTTATTGCATATACAAATATAGTTACCTCAAAATGGATGAAAGACCTAAACATAAGAGCTAAAACTAAAATAACTAAAATTCTTAGAAAAAAAATAAGAGAAAAGCCTCATGGATTTGGCAGTGATTTGCTTTTCAAAAAAAAAAGGGCAAAAAGCTGTATAAATTGGACTTCATGGAATTTTAAAACTTCTGTGCATCAAAAAGCACAACAGAGTAAAAGGCAATTCATAATAAGAGATAATTTGTTACTGGATATCCCTCTCACAGGAAACTTGTTTATACTGTCAGTCACCCTTGTGGTTCTTCTCTGACCTACATCCAGTTTATTTCTACCAAGATACCAAGATAGCCACTCTAGGAAATACCTAACAAATAGATTAGGTTTGGGTATGTTGGCCAGGTGAGACTCAGAAGAGGCAACACAATAAAACACATGAAAAACAGAAGCATTGTATTACTTTCATATTCCAGAGAAAAGGGGGCAACCTGCCTTGCAGAGCCAAAGGGATAAGGGGGGCCCTCTGGGACACATGCACTCTACCAGCAGGGGGAGAGGGAGAAGAGACAGAGAGAGAGAGAGAGAGAAGAGAGAGAGAGAGAGGAGAGAGAGAGAGAGACAGAGGGGGAGAGAGAGAGAGAGAGAGACAGAGAGAGAGAGAGAGAGACCTGTGTATCAAAGCCTTTCTTGGGGTCTGGGATTTTACCCAAGCCAATTTCCCATGGAGATTTCTAACTGGTGGGTTTACAGAAAGTAGACACAAGTTCCATGGAGTCACTGGAGTCATACTGTGACTGAAAGGTGGTCATAGTGGCTTACTTGCACATCTCATTTGGGTGTAGGGGTCATTGGAGTAAGTCAAGTAGGTGATATATACATATATATCCCATAAATAAATATCTACACATGGTGTACATATTTATCTTTCTATATATAGAAATATTATTTCTATATTTATTTCTATATTTATCTCTCTATATAATAATATAGAAATATTATTTCTATATTTATCTTTCTATATATAGAACTATTATTTCTTTCTATATATAGAAATATTATTTCTTTCTATATATAGAAAGATTATTATCTTTCTATGTATATATTCCATAAAGATGGTCACCAAGAGGTGACAGTACAAGGAAGACATATACATCAAACACATTTTAAAACTGGGAGGAGGCAGATAAATGGAAAGTGTGTTAAGGGTGACTAAGCCCTATTTCTGGTATAAAAAAGTTCAACTTATATTACAAAATGGAAGCCAAGAAACCAAAAAAATAGAGAAATTTACTACAAATTAAGTGACATAATCCAGTCACAAAAGAAAAATTACTGCTGTATGATTCAAATTATGTGAGGTATGCAGAATAGTCAAATTCATAGAGGTAGGTAGTTTTGGTATAGTGGTGAGCATAACTGCCTTCCAAGTTCATAGAAACAGACAACAGAATGGTGGGGAGAATGAGGTGTTACTAATGAGTATAAAATTTCAGTTTTGTGAGATAAAATGAGTTTTGTGGATGAATGGTTGTGATGATAGCATAACAATGTAAATATACTTAATGGTACTGAAACGTGCACTTCAAATGGTTATGATTGTACATTTTATATTATTTTTATTTGTATTTAATTACAATTTTATAAATGTGGAAAAAAGGCTTCAAAATCACATTTTGAAATCCACTGAATAAACATTTAATGAAATGCTTGATTTATTTCAAGTCAAGCAATTTATTTAAAATAAGAAAATTATATGTAATTTATGAGAACTAGTGTAGTACTGATTTATTAAATTTTCTGGTTAAATGTGGGTTAAATCTAAATAACAATTTTTTACTCTTCTCTTGTAGTATTTTCAAAATGTAAAAAAGTGAATAAAGTTGTGTGTTCTTTTCTGTGTACTATGGGGGGGTATTATCCAAAGGTCAGTGATCAATATTTAAAATATTGCTAGGGTTGCGTGTCAAAGGATGTCAAAATAAGCATGAATAGACCCAAGACATTCCAAGGAAATTTTCCTTCCTTCCTTTCTTCCTTCCTTCCTTTCTTCCTTCCTTCCTTCTTTCCCTCTTTCTCTCTCTTTTCTTTCTTTCTTTTTCTTTCTTTCTTTCTTTCTTTCTTTCTTTCTTTCTTTCTTTCTTTCTTTCTTTCTTTCTTCTTTCTTCCTTCCTTCCTTCCTTCCTTCCTTCCTTCCTTCCTTCCTTCCTTCCTTCCTTCTTTCTTTCTTTCTTTCTCTCTTTCCTTTCTTTCCTTCTTTTGTTCATTCGTTCATTCTTTTTCTTTCTTTTTTGCTAAATCTCTGATATGAATTTTTTTAGAGTTGACTCTCTTATAGAAGTACATTTTAAAAAGAAGTAATTTTGATTATCTGAGCTTTAACCTCATATGTCTTCTAGTAGATTTCTAATTGGTGGGTTTACAGAAAGTAGGCACAAGTTCCATGGAGTCATTGGAGTCATACTGTGACTGAAAGTTGGTCACAGTGGCTTACTTGCACAGCTCATTTGGGTGTAAGGGTCACTGGAGTAAGTCAAGTAGGTGATATATACACATATATCACATAAATATATATATATGGGATATAAAGATTCCAATGTATTTTATAATTTTACATTTAGCTTAAGATAAGGATAATGAGGTTAATAATAGAACTTTTTTAAATAGTAAATTTTAGAGGATGTGTAATAATTTACGAAATAAAATTTACGAAATAAAACTCAAAGAAAAATTTTAGTACAAGTTGTTAAGAACTTCTAACCAAATTTCATACTTAGGCCACTTTGTTTATATAATCTACATTATTTATTTTGTTATCTTTAGAGTTAACCCGTAAAATAGAAATAAAATGTTTAGATTTCAGTTTTCACTATAGGCCTTTAACTTTAAAATAAATCTTAAGTTGTTTTATATTCCACACAATTTAACAATCAAAGTACATTTTAACGTGTTTTCATTCTGGTATAAAACACCTAGAGGCACAACAGATTTTTGAACGTTGACTTCATATCCTGCAATTTGGCTAAAATTATTTATTATCTATAATAATTTGTTTTGTTATATTTTGTGACTGTTTATGCTTTTTATATTTAAAATAATGTTATATATGAACAGAGATAATTTTACTTCTTTTTTGATGTGGATGCCTTTTATTTCTTTTTATTGCCTAAATGCCTGGGCCATGACTTCCAGTACTATGCAAAATAGAAGTGTCAAAAGTATACATCTTTCTCTTTTTCCTGATCTTAGAGAAAAAGCCTTCAGTATTTTAACATTGAGAGTGATATTATTTGTGGGCTTTTTATATGTGGCAGTCATTATGTTAGGCTATTTCTCTCTATTCCTAGAATGTTAAGTGTTTTCACTATGAAATATTGTTGAATTTTGTTAAATACTTTTTCTACATCTATCGAGATAACCATGTGATTTTTTTTCTTCTTGTTGTTAATGTGATATATCATACTGATTGATTGCTTATGTTGAACCATTCCTGAATTGGTTACATGGCATAATTCTTTTAATATTCTGTTAAAATAAGTTTGCTAATATTTGTTGAAAATTTTTGAATATCTATTCATCAGCAATACTAGATTATTGTTTTCTTTTCTTACAGTGTCTTTTTCTAGTTCTGGTGTCAAGGTAATGCTGGCCTCCTAAAATAAGTTTCATAGTATGTTTTAGTCCATCTTTGCTGTGATAACAATATACTACAGATTGAACAATTTATAAATAATTTAAATTTATTTCTCACATTCTTGAAGGGCAAAAGGTCCAATATCAAGGCTCTGACAAATTTGGTGTCTGGTAAGAGACACTCTCTCTTCTTCCAAAATGAAGCCTTGTTGCTGTGTCTTGTGGATGGTTTGAATGCTGTGTCCTCACATGGCAGAAGGCAGAAGGGCAAAAGAGGGTATATTCTATGTCCTCACGTGACAGAAGAGTTAAAGAGCTAAAAAAGACTAAGTTTTCTCCACCCTTCTTATAAGTCACTGATTCATGTATAATGGAACCCTTATGACTTAATCATTTCCCCAAAGTTTCCACCTCTTGATACCACTGCAATGGGGATTAAGTTTCAGCACATGAATTTAGCAGCACACATTCTGATCACAGAAAAGTGTTCTTTCCTCTTCAATTTTTGAAAAACTTTGAGATTGATTTCCATTAATTCTTGAAATATTTGGTAGAATTCACTAGTGAAAGGTTGGGTATTTGCTTTGTTGGAAGGATTTTGATTGCAGATCCATTCTTCTAACTAGTGATAGGCCTGGCCAGATTTGTTATTTCTTAATGATTCAGTATTGGTAAGTTGTATACAACAAGGAATTTATCCATTTTTTTATCCAATTTGTTTAAGTATAAATGTACATAACATTTTTTTACCAATTCTTTTAATTTCTGAGGCATCAGTTGCAAGGTTTCTTCTTTTATTTCTTATAAATTTGCATATTTTCCCTTTTTATTTTCAGTTAATCTAGCTAAAAGTTTGTCAATTTTATTGATCTTTTTAAAACATCAACTGTTATTTTTTTTAATTTTAGATTCAGTGGGTACATGTGCAGGTTTGTAACATGGGTATATTGAGTGATGCTGAGACTTGAAATACAAATGATCCCGTTACCTAGCTACTGAGCATAGTATGCAATAGTTAGTTCTTCAATTCCTGTTCCACTCTCTCCTTCCACTCTGCAGTATGACACATACCAAGTGTCTATTGTTACCCTTTTTATGACCATGAGTACTTAATGTTTAGCTCTCACTTATAAGTGAGAATATGTGTTACTTGATTTTCTGTTCCTGCATTAATTCACATAGGATAATGGCTTCCAGCTCCATCCGTGTTGTTGCAAGAGACATTTTTCCATTCTTTTTAATAGCTGCGTAGTATCCCATGGTGCATATATACCATATTTTCTTTATCTAGTCTACTGTTAATGGACCTCTAGGTTAATTTCATGTATTTGCTGTTGTGAATAACAATGAACATATGTGTGCATGTATCTCTGTAGTAGAACGATTTATTTTTTTTGGACATATACCCAGTAATGGGATTAGTAGGTTGAATAGCAGTTCTGATTCAAGTTATCTGAGAAATCTCCAGAATGCTTTCCACAGTAGTTGAACTAATTTACATTCCCATTAGCAGTATGTAATTGTTCCCTTTTCTCAGGAGCCTTACCATCATCTGTTGTTTTTTGACTTTTTGATAATAGCCATTCTGCCTGGTGTGTCATAATATCTCATTGTGGTTTTGCTTTGCATTTCTCTGATGATCATTGATGTGGAGCAGTTTTTCATGTTTATTGGCCACTTGTATAAATTATTTTGGGTAGTGTCTGTTCATGTCTTTTGCCAGCTGTTTAATTGGGTTATTTGCTTTTTGCTTGCTGAATTATATAAGTTTCTTATGGATTCTGGATATTAGACCTTTGTCTAATATATAGTTTGTGAATATATTCTCCCAGTCTGTAGGTTGTCTGTTTATGCTGTTGCTAGTTTATTTTGCTGTGCAGAAGCTCTTTAGTTGAATTAGGTCTCACTTGTTGAGTTTTGTTTCTGATGCAATTGCTTTTTACAATTTAGTCATAATTCTCTTTCAAAGCCAATGTTTCCTAAGTTTTCTTCTAGTATTCTTATATTCTGATGTCTTATAGGTAAATTTTTAATCAATTTTAATTAATTTTTGTGTATGGTGAAGGGTAGTGGTCAAGTTTTCATTCTTCCGCATATGGCTAACCAACTATCTCAGCACCATTATTGTATAAATAGAGGGTCCTTTACCCATTGGAGTACACAGATTCCTTTATCTATTGCTTTTTCAGTCAACTTTGTCAAAAATCAGATGGCTTAGTTGTATGATTTTATTTTGGGGATCTCTATTCTGTTTTATTGGTCTATGCATCTTTTTTTTTGTATCAGTACCATGCTGTTTTAGTTACTATATCATGATAGTATAGTTTGAAGTCAGGTAATGTGATATTTCCACCTTTGTTCTTTTTGCTTACAATTATTTTGATTAGTCAGGGTCTTTTGTGTTCCATACAAATTTTAGAATAGTTTTTTTTCTAATTATATAAAAAATTACATTGTTATTTTGATGGAAATAGCATTGCATTTCTAGATTGCTTTGGGCAGTATGGCTATTTTAACAATATTGATTCCTCTAATTGATGAGCATGAAATATTTTTTCACTTGTTTGTGTTGTTTACTATTTCTTTTAGGAGCGTTTCACAGTTATCCTTGTAGAGATCTTTCACCTCTTTTGTTAGATGTATTCCTAGGTATGTAATGTTTTTGTGGCTATTATAAATAGGAATGTGTTCCTGATCTGGATCTCAGCTTGAATGTTATTGATGTATAGAAATGCTACCAATTTTGTACATTGATTTTGTACCCTGAAGCTTTACTGAAGCCATTTATCAGTTCCAGGGACCCTTTGGTAGAGTCTTCAGTGTTTTCTAGGTATATAATAATATCATCTAGGAAAAGAGATAATTTCACTACTTCTTTTTCTATTTGGATGTCTTTTATATCTTTCTCTCACCTAATTGTTCTAGCTAGGACTTTCTGAATTTATTTTTAGTGTATTCAAATTGAGTCACTAGCATATCTACATTTAGCACCTTAGTGCAAATTAAAATGCCAAAACTACACTAAAATCAGTTTTTACAATATGTGGAAAAATGTCTGAATGAAGCCCTATTTGGAAAAATATACCTATATTGCTTCCTCCTGAACTATTTTAAGATTTTTTTTAATGTCAGAACAAGCCATAACTTGGTAGTTTCAGAAGCTTCCATTAGCACTTACACAAAGAGAGTTTAAAATAATAACAAACTTAATCAAATGTTAATATTAACATTTAATGCATAACAAAGAACATAAAACCATGTAAAAATATCACATACATAAATTATTATAAATGCCATGACAGTAAGAAGTATGCCCTTGATGCTTCATAACAGTTCCCTTTTCCCCAATAATAGTAATGTTTTCAAAATTTTCATCATATTTTACCATAAGAATAAAAGTCTATATTTACACCAGATAAATCTTGGCCATCAATACTGCATTGTCTAGCCCCAATATTTTTTGCCTTTCCCATTTGTATTTATCTATAAGAAGTTGGAAGGTATATTGATACATATGATTTCCTGACCATTGTGGCCAATCGGTTAGGGGATCTCATAGGCCAGTTATTTGTGTAAGCTCTATCAAGCATTCTTGTTTTAATCAAAATTCAATTATTTTGAGAGTAACAACTGTTTTTCATCCTAAAAAAATTGACACCATATTGCAAAATTGCCATGCAGAAATTGAGTACCTCCCTGTGTAAGCAGAGGGCAAGCTCCAACCAATGAAAGGGGGAGATCATTCTAGGTTGGTAGGTAGTCAAATAATTATTTAGGAAGAGTTTTCATATGAGGTAGTTTTGGGTGGCAGCAAGACAAGGTAGATCTCTGCGCTTGCAATGTGTATCTGTCTAGTCTTTTATACCTTGAAAAGAAAAGGGAAAGGGAAAAAAGTCACTAATGGTGTGTTAAGCTTTCTTAATCTGTGCATTTTCTACTTAGTGAGGTTGTTTGTGTCCCTACAATCAGATCAACATTTCTAAAAGAATGAGAATGTTCTAGACAATAGCACTTATCTTGGCATCTTTCTGTTTCCTCTAGTCACTGCAAATCTCAACTCACTTCATGGTCATGTACCTAGAATACATTTACACAATACATTGAAGGAGGTCAGGGAATGTTATCCTGTAATATGCTACCTTGGTATGCTGACTGCCTCAAATTGAGGGCACTTTGGGAACCGTTAACGCAGGGAAAATCTTTCTCTGAACTTCCCTTATCTACCCAAATATGGAGTCCCCAAAAAAGCCCATAAATGGAATGAAGTCCCTCCTTGGGAATCTCATCAACCAGAGAAGAATAAACTTTTATTGCAGGAGAGAAGACTGCTGACATCACACCCAGACAGAATTTGTCATAGGCTATTACCTATTCTTTTAAAGACCCATTCATCTTTCTCCAAAATTATTTACTTTTCCCAAAACAACCTGCATTGCTCCTCCCTCTCCCCTGAGAAGAGAGTATGTAAGCTTCTAGATCTCACTTGGGTTTGGATATTGACTTTTCTTTCATGTGAGGCTGGCATGTACTTAATAAATTTGTTTACCTTTTCTCCTGTTAATCTGCCTCCTGTCAGTTTATTTTGTAGATTCTATTATTGAATCCTCAGAGAGTAGATGTAAAGTCTTCCTTTCCTTACAACACCAATAAGACTCAATTATATTAATTCCAAAATGTTTGCTGCCATCTAGAATAGTCATTTATCAAATTTAAACAGGAAAAGACAACTTTATTCTGATCCCACCAAAAAATATATTAAGAATTGTTCTAACAGTCTTTTTATATTCTATGATAAACAGATGAATTGCTGTTCCAACCATATAAGGAAAGCAATATTAATTTTCATCTATGGAGAAAGACAAAAAGAAAGCAGCTGGTGGGGTTTTTCTTTTTTGCTGCAGTTCTAACTTCCTCTTGTAGGGTAGAAAAAAATTCTTCCTCTGCCCTCTTAGATTCAATAACTGGAGCCCATGAATAAAACTGATATTGTTACTGGAAAGGGTCCTGGTCCAGACCCAAAGAGAGGATTCTTGGATCTCGCACAAGAAAGAATTCAAGGCTAATCCATAAAGTGCAATCAAGTTTCTTAAGAAAGTAAGGAAATAAAAGAATGGCTACTCTATAGGCAGAGCAGCCCTGAGGGCTGATGATTCACTGTATTTATGGTTGTTTATTGATTATATGCTAAACAAATGGTAGATTATTCGTAAATTTTCTAGGAAAAGGGGTAGGCAGTTCCCAGAACTGCGGGTTCCACCCGTTTTTCCACAAAATAGTGTAACTTCCTGATGCTACCATGGCATTTGTAAACTGTCGTGGAGCTGGTGGGACTGTCTTTTAGCATGCTAATGCATTATAATTAGTGTATAATGAGCAGTGAGTATGACCAGAGGTCACTTTTGTCGCCAACTCAGTTTTGATGGGATTTGGCTGGTTCTTTACTGCATGCTGTTTTATCAGCAAGGTCTTTATGACCTGTATCTTTTGCCGACCTCCTATCTCATCCTGTGACTAAGAATGCCTTAATATCCTGGGAATGCAGCCCAGTAGGTCTCAGCCTTATTTTACTCAGCCCCTATCAAGATGGAGTCACTCTTGTTTGAACACCTCTGACAATATAGGGCAAATTAAAAGGATAAAAAATATTTAATTATGTTCATACACATGGAGTTCACAAAGAAATGTCACTCAATAAAGCGGGTAGAATTTGAAGTTTATATAACATTTTAAGAAAGGGTGATAAATTGTGGAGAAGTAACTAGACAAAAGAAGAAAGTTTGGATATCTGGGGATGGCAAATTGTGGGAATGTAAATAGAAAAAACTAATAGAAAATAAGAGGGTTTTTTAGTAAGTTTTATTATTCAGACTCAAGATATTGCCTTTTTTTGGCAAGAGTAATCCACAGTGATAAAGAGTCTTCCTCATTTTCCTGCAGGAGAAGGAAAGACATTTTCAAATGATACTTTTCTCTACCAATAGAAATTTATTCCTTATTTTTACACAGGTTGGGAAGGTAAGATACATTTTTCTGTCTGCTGTGTCTCAATTGCTTTCAGTTTAAAATGATCCTTATGCAAAAATGGCATAATTTGTGGTGGCATATTCTGATGCTTTTTACTGTCAATGTCTATTGTACTTTACCAAAATACCAAATGAAACATTAAAACAAGCAAATCACTGATTTTCAACTTCTTTAGTAGGGGGCTTACTTGAAATAAAGTAGAATAATATTCAGTTTTAGTACAGTTTTAGAAACTGAGTAAAAATATCTCTATCATAATACACTTGCCATTTTTTTTTTCTTTTGAGGCTATGTTAGTACCTGCTACATTTAAGTTTAAAAATAACTGTTTCCTATACCTGTGATTTAAAGTTTTTGGTTTGCCTACTCACCAATCACTTGAAAAGATGGATTGGGTATTAATTTATATGTAACTGAATGGTTTAGAACAATGATTCCCAAGTATCTTTTTTCCCAGATAGTGAAATTAAATGTAAGATCAGCTAAAGGACTTCTCTGAGCCACAGTTAGTTATATAATTCAAGTCTATTAACTGCCATAATAGCTCTTGATAATTAACTCAGAAATTTTCTGAGTAGCAGGTGGCTAATGGTTATTTTCCTTAGCCTACATGGAGTCCTCAGTCTGCCTCAGTGAGACAAACTAAACTGCTTAGTAAGCAAGGTGCTAGTCTTCTTCATCCCATGAAGTAGGAAATAAACAGAAAGAGCAAGAGTCACATACATGAAAAAATCTAATGAGAATTTTTATACTAACATGCATATGTAGAGCCAATGTCCTCTTACACTATCCTTTACCAGTGAAAATATTTCTTTGCTTAGCTATCACTTCAATGACTTATCTTGTAATCATGTGAGAAAAGACTTAACCCAGCAGTTGGTTTTAATTTGGGACTTACTAAATGATGAACAGCTAGTATATTGAGGCCTCTTAAAAGGTTATAAGCCAATACTTGAATCCCTGGAAGTTGGGTTGGTGGCCAGAGCTGATTGCAGGGAAAAGGGATTTTTGTTTCTTCTGAAAATTAGCTGACTCAGAAAGTATGGAAAAGTACTATAAATAGGTGATGGTGTTACAAGATTTCAATAGTGTCATTTTTATAGGTCAGTATTGAAGGACAGTAGTGTCAACCTTAAATAATGAGATTCAGAATATGTGATTAAGTATAGAGTCTGTACAGGTGCAAAGCTTGAGAGTAGCCACCTGGAAAACACTGACTCCAAACAAATGCGGTTGGTTTTCCAAACTGGAGAAGTTAAGTATTCACTTATATAGGCAGAGTCAGAGGAGTTTTAGCAGGATTATAACACATTCCATACAAGACCAGTGAATATACTACAGTAATTTGATTGGTTACGGACTGCTACATTCCCAGAAAAATCATTTTGTTACTTTTTGAGGAGGCCTAGTGATCTGAGAGTGTCTTAAATATTTAGAGGAAAATAAGGCAGTAGTTGCAGCTGCATGCTGCGTGATTCAAACTGCATAACCACATTCCTCTAAAGGCTCAGAATAATTTAAAGTTCCAACAACTTTTATTTAATTTCACACCAGTAATTTATGACATAGGAATAACACGTAATAACTTTCTGTTAGAAATTAGTATTGCATACCCCTAAAAATGTGAAACTTTGAGAGACTTCACAATTTACTTAACTATATATTTCATCTAATTTAAGCAATATTCACTTACTGTGGTATGGATGTCATCTATTTAATAATTTTAGCTTTGCAGCTTATATTATTCTATAATTACATCATATATTTGTTATTTAATTGAATTTTTACTATGCATTAGGCATTTATACTATGTAAAATTATTCTCTGTGAGTCTAGGTTTGAAAGAAGAAAGTTTTAAATAGAAAGTATAGTCTTACCTGTATCAAGCAAACTAAAGTTTGATAAACCAAGCTGAAGAACAAATGCATATTTTAGTTTCCAAAAATCAACTGGAAAGCTGTGAAAAGTCAAGAAGCTCACATCAAATTTCAAAAAGCTAAGATAGTTTTAAAATATTGCCAAGTCAATCCTAAGCCAAAAGAACGAAGCTGGAGCCATCACGCTACCTGACTTCAAACTATACTACAAGGCTACGGTAACCAAAACAGCATGGTACTGGTACCAAAACAGAGATATAGATCAATGGAACAGAACAGAGCCCTCAGAAATAATGCCACATATCTACAACTATCTGATCTTTGACAAACCTGAGAAAAACAAGCAATGGGGAAAGGATTCCCTATTTAATAAATGGTGCTTGGAAAACTGGCTAGCCATATGTAGAAAGCTGAAACTGGATCCCCTCCTTACACCTTATACAAAAATTAATTCAAGATGGATTAAAGACTTAAACATTAGACCTAAAATCATAAAAACCCTAGAAGAAAACCTAGGCATTACCATTCAGGACATAGGCATGGGCAAGGACTTCATGTCTAAAACACCAAAAGCAAGGGCAACAAAAGCCAAAATTGACAAATGGGATCTAATTAAATTAAAGAGCTTCTGCACAGCAAAAGAAACTGCCATCAGAGTGAACAGGCAACCTACAAAATGGGAGAAAATTTTCGCAGCCTACTCATCTGACAAAGGGCTAATATCCAGAATCTACGATGAACTCAAACAAATTTACAAGAAAAAAAAAACAACCCCATCAAAAAGTGGGCGAAGGACATGAACAGACACTTCTCAAAAGAAGACATTTAAGAAGCCAAAAGACACATGAAAAAATGCTCACCATCACTGGCCATCAGAGAAATGCAAATCAAAACCACAATGAGATACCATCTCACACCAGTTAGAATGGCAATCATTAAAAAGTGAGGAAACAACAGGTGCTGGAGAGGACGTGGAGAAATAGGAACAATTTTACACTGTTGGAGGGACTGTAAACTAGTTCAACCATTGTGGAAGTCAGTGTGGCAATTCCTCAAGGATCTAGAATTAGAAATACCGTTTGACCCAGCCATCCCATTACTGGGTATATACCCAAAGGACTATAAATCATGCTGCTATAAAGACACATGCACACGTATGTTTATTGCGGCACTATTCACCATAGCAAAGACTTGGAACCAAGCCAAATGTCCAACAATGATAGACTGGATTAAGAAAATGTGGCACATATACACCATGGAATACTATGCAGCCATAAAAAATGATGAGTTCATGTCCTTTGTAGGGACATGGATGAAATTGGAAATCATCATTCTCAGTAAACTATCACAAGGACAAAAAACCAAACACCACATGTTCTCACTCATAGATGGGAATTGAACAATGAGAACACATGGACACAGGAAGGGGAACATCACACTCTGTGGACTGTTGTGGGGTGGGGGAGGGGGAGGGATAGCATTAGGAGATATACCTAATGCTAAATGACGAGTTAATTGGTGCAGCACACCAGCATGGCACATGTATACATATGTAACTAACGTGCACATTGTGCACATGTACCCTAAAACTTAAAGTATAATAATAAAAGAAAAATAAATAAATAAAATATGAAAGTGATATGTCCGCTCTAAACAATGTTTCTCTTGAAGATACCTGTATACTCAGTAACAAAACATTATATATCATATATCTATTCCTTTACATAGCCTGAAAAACATTTAGAAGAAACTAATGGTTCATAGACTAAGATCATTTTTTCAGGCAATATTTTGATTTAATTTAAAGTGTTATTTTTATTATTAAAATTTTAAACAGCTTTCTTCAGGCATAATAGAAAACTGCACATATTTGAAGCATAAACTTTAATAAATTTTGCCATATGTATGTATCCTGAAACTATCACTATAATCAAGGAAATGAATGTATTCATTGCACAAAAGTTTTCTCTTGTCCCTTTGAATTCCATTCTGTGGACCTTCCCCACATCTCTGTGCTCACAAAACTACTCATCTGTTGTCTCTCACTATAGGTGTGTTCACATTTTCTAGAATTTTATATAAATGAAATTGCGTGAGGTGTCATTTTTTCAATGTGGCTTCTTCATTGTGCATGATTATTTTTAAATATATCCGTGGTCTTGTTTGTGTTAACAATCATTTTTGTCCCTGAGAAGTATCTCATTATATAGATATGCCACTGTAGCTTTATCTATTCACTTGTTAAAGGAAATTTGGGACTTTTCTTGTTTTGGCTACTGAAAATAAAGCTGCTTTGAACAATCAGGTCCCAATATTTGTATGAACATATACTTTTATTTCTCTTGGGTAAATCCCTATAAGTGGAATGTCTGAATTATATGGTAGGTGTGATGGTTAATACTGTCAACTTGATTGGATTGAACAATACAAAGTGTTGATCTTGGGTGTGTCTGTGAGGGTGTTGCCAAAAGAGATTAACATTTGAGTCAGTGGTTTGGGGAAGGCAGACCCACCCTTAATCTGGGTGGGCACAATCTATTCATCTGCCCGTGCTGCTATAATATAAGCAGGCAGAAAATTGTGAAAAAAGAGACTGGCCTAGCCTCCCAGCCTACATCTTTCTCTTGTGCTGGATGCTTCTTGCTCTCAAACATTGGATTCCAAGTTCTTCAGTTTTGGAACTCAAACTTGCTCTCCTTGCTCCTCAGCCTGCAGATGGCCTATTGTGGGAACTTGTGATCATGTGAGTTAATATTTAATAAACTCCCCATGTATGTGTGTGTGTGTGTGTATGTATGTATGTATATATTTCATTAGTTCTTTCTAGAGAATCCTAGACTAATACAGACTTGGGTACCAGGAGTGGTTCTGGAGGAACAGAATATTAAGGATGGAGATCTGTCATTGGTTTTGGGGTTTCTGGGCTTAGCTGGTTAATATGATTAGACCGAAAAAATGCTAAGGACTCTACTTCTAATAATATCAAGGACACTGATAGTCCTCTGCATGAATTGTTTAGAGAGTTATGCAAAATAAATGCATTTGACACTCCTGATTCACCGCTCATGAGAGGCAAAGAGTTTAGTCACTCTATACATAATAGTTTTGACCATATGTGGAGAATGAAGGAACATGTTGAAGCTGGTTGGTTGCTCCTAAGTTCAGTGGACAAAGTGATGAAAGAAAATTATGAACTCAGGGATTCTACCTCCCGGCTTCAGAAGCAGACACTGAACCTCCAATCTACTAAGATTGCCTTGAGTGAGAGTCTTATCTCCTGCAGAGAAAGAGCTGAAATTGTGAAAAACCGGACACAAGCTCTTATCATGTGAGTGGCTGACCTGCAATGAAAGGTGCAAGCACAGCCTCACCAGGTGTCTACTGTTAAAGTGAGGGCATTGATTGGAAAAAAACTGGACCCTGCAACTTGGAATGGGGACATGTGGAAAGACCTTGATGAAGCTGGGGACACTGAGTTTGTAAACTCTGATGAACCTTTTTGTGCCAGAAGAAACAATTTCCCCATCTCCATTAGTGGCGACATCCCCTCCACGACCCACGCTGCCATCAGCCTTTCCACCACTGTCTGAGGAGATAAAGCCTGCGCCGTCTGAGGCAACAGTGAGGGCCTCCCCTGAGGTAATTGCCAGGCAAGATAATGTTGATTCTCTTCAAGAGCCACCCCTAAAACCTCTGTTTGCTTCTAGGCATATAACTAGACTAAAGTCCTGGTGGGACCCTAGAGGTAAGGTTGAAAGTGTGACTTATGAAGAGGTGTGCTACACTAAAAAAATGAAAAACAGCTTAAGTTTTCTAATTTATATAAATAGAAATCTGGAGAACAGGCATGGGAATGGATATTAAGTGTGTGGGACAATGGTGGAAGGAAAATAGAGTTGGATCAGGCTGAATTTATTGACTTTGGCCCACAAAGTAGGGACTCTGCTTTTAATGTTGCAGCTCAGGGAGTTTAAAAAAGGTTCTAATAGTTTATTTTCTTGGCTACCTGAAATATGGATTAAAAGATGGCCCACTGTGAGAGAGGTGGAAATGCCTAATCTCCCCTGGTTTAATGTAGGGAAGGGATCCAAAAGCTTAGGGAGATTGGGATGTTGGAGTGGATTAGTCACTTTAGACCTACTCATCCCAGCTGGCCAGGTCCAGAAGATATGCCCTTGAGCAATGCCATGTGAAATAGATTTGGGAGGGTAGCACCTGCATTTTTGAAGAGCCCTGTAATTGCTCCTCTCTGTATGTCACATCTAATGGTGGAAACCACAGTCACTCAACTACAAAGTTTAAACACAATAGAAATATTTGGATCCTGAGGTGGCAGGGGCCAAGTGGTGGCACTCAATCATCAAAGGCGAGGTGGGCATAGCTACTGTAATGGACAGCAGAGGCAAAGCAGCAATCAGAATAGTCTGACTTGTGTAGAGCTCTGGCTTTGGCTAATTGATCATGGTGTTCCTAGAAGTGAACATGATAGAAAGCCTTGGAGAATTGATAGAATGTCTTGGAGAATGACAGTGGATTAAGATAAGCTTAACCAAGTGGTGACTCCAGTTGCAGCTGCTGTACCAGTTGCAGTTTCATTGCTTGAACACATTAATACATTTCCTGGTATCTGGTATGCAGCCATTGACTTGGCAAATGCCTTTTTCTTCATTCTTGTCTGTAAGACCCACCGGAAGCAATTTGCCTTCAGCTGACAAGGCCAAAAATATAACTTTACTGTCCTACCTCAGAGGTATATCAACTCTGGCTTTGTGTCATAATCTTATTTGGAGAGACTTTGATTGTTTTCCACTTCCACAAAATATCACACTGGTTCATTACATTGATGACATTATGCTGATTGGATCCAGTGAGCAAGAAGTAGCAAACTCACTGGACTTATTGATGAGACATTTGCATGCCAGAGGATGGGAAATAAATATGATTAAAATTCAGGGAACTTCTACCTCAGTAAAATTTCTAGGAGTACAGGGATGTGGGGCCTGTCAAGATATTCCTTCCAAAGTGAAGGAAAAGTTTCTGCATTTGGCCTCTCCTACAACCAAGAAAGAGGCACAATGCCTAGTGGGCCTACTTGGATTTTGCTGGCAACACATTCTTCATTTGGATGTGTTACCCCAGCCCATTTATTTAGTGACCCGAAAGGCTGCCAGTTTTGAGTGGAGTCCAGAACAGAAGAAGGCCCTGCAACAGGTCCAGTCTGCTGTGCAAGTTGCTCTGCCACTTGGGCCATATGAGCCAGCAGATCCAATGATGCTTGAGGTGTCAGTGGCAGATAGAGATGCTGTTTGGAGCCTTTGGAAGGCCCCCATAGGTGAATCACAGAGGAGGCCTCTAGGCTTTAGGAGCAAGGCCCTGCCATCTTCTGCAGATAACTGCTTTCCTTTTGAGAGACAGCTCTTTGACTATTACTGGGCTTTGGTGGAAACTGAATGTTTGACTATAAGTCATCAATTCACCATGAGACCTCCACTGCCTATCATGAACTGGGTGCTTTATGACCCATCTAGCCATATACTGGGTCATGCACAGAAGCATTTCATCATCAAATGGAAGTGGTATATATGTGATCAGGCTTGAGTAGGTCCTGAACTCAAATAAGTTACATGAGGAAGTGGCTCAAATGCCCATGGTCTCCACTCCTACTACCCTGCCTTCTCTCTCCCAGCCTACACCAATGGCCTTAAGGAGAGTTCCCCATTATCAGTTGACATAGGAAGAGAAGACTAGGGCCTGGTTCACAGATGGTTCTGCACGATATTCAGGCATCACCCGAAAGTGGACAGCTGCAGCACTATAGCCGCTTTCTAGGACATCCCTGAAAGACAGCAGTGAAGAGAAATCTTCCCAGTGGGAAGAACTGCGAGTACTGCACTTTACATTGAAGGAAAAATTGCAGGATTTGAGATTATATACTGATTCATAGGCGGTAGCCAATGGTTTGGCTGGGTGGTCAGGGACTTGGAAGAAACATGACTGGAAAATTGGTGACAAATAAATTTGAAGAAGAGGTATATGGATGGACATCTCTGAGTGGCCAGAAACTGTGAAGATATTTGTTTCCCATGTGAGTGCTCACCAATGGGTGACCTCAGCAGAGGAGAATTTTAATAATCAAGTGGATAAGATGACCCATTTTCTGGACACCACTAAACCTCTTTCTCTAGCCACCCCTGTCATCGCCCAATGGGCCCATGAACAAAGTGGCCATGGTGGCGGGGATGGAGATTACACATGGGCTCCACAACATGGACTTCCACTCACCAAGGCTGACCTGGCTATGGCCACCACTGAGTGCCCAATTTGTCAGCAGCAGAAAACAGCACTGATCCCTTGATATGGAACAATTCCTCGTGGTGATCAGCCTGCCACCAGGTGAAAAGTTGATTATATTGGACATCTTCCATCATGGAAAGTGCAGAGGCTTGTCCTCACTGGAATAGACACTTACTCTGGATATAGGTTTGCCTATTCTGCGTGCAATGCTTCTTCCAAGACTACCATCTGTGGACTCATGGAATGCCTTATCTACCATCATGGTATTCAACACTGCATTGCCTCTGACCAAGGCACTCACTTTATGGCTAAAGAAGTGCAGCAGTGGGCTCATGATCATGGAATTCACTGGTTTTACCTTGTTCCCCATTATCCTGAAGCAGCTGGATTGATAGAACAGTGAAATGGCTTATTGAAGTAACAATTATAGCACCAACTAGGTGACAATACTTTGCAGGGCTGGGGCAAAGTTCTCTAGAAGGTCGTGTATGCTCTGAATCAGCTTCCAATATATGATACTATTTCTTCCATAACCAGCATTCACAGGTCCAGGAATTAAGGGGTGGAAGTGGAAATGGCACCACTCACTATCACCCCTTGTAGATCCACTAGCAAAATTTTTGCTTCCTGTTCCTGAGACATTACATTATGCTGGCCTAGAGGTCTTAGTTCCAGAGGGAGGAACGCTGCCACCAGGAGACACAACAATGATTCTATTAAACTGGAAGTTAAGATTGCCACCGGGACACTTTGAGCTCCTCCTACCTTTAAGTCAACAGAATAAGATGGGAGTTACAGTGTTGCCTGAGGTGATTGACTTGGACTCTCAAGATGAAATCAGTTTACTACTTTACAAAGAATGTAAAGAAGAGTATGCATGGAATACAGAAAATCTATTAGGGCATGTCTTAATATCACCATGCCCAGTGATTAAGGTCAATGGGAAGCTACAACAGCCCCATCCAGGCTGCACTACAAATGACCCAGACCCTTAAGGAATGAATATTTGTGTCACTCTACCAGGAAAAAGAAAACATGACCTGCTGAGGTGCTTGCTGAAGGCAAAAGGAATACAGAGTGGGTGGTAGAAGAAAGTAGTCATCAATACCAGCTACAACCACATGACCAGCTGCAGAAACGAGGACTGTAATTGTCATGAGTATTTCCTACTTCTTTTTGTAAAACCATGTTTGTGCATGTATGCACCTGTACTAAGAAAACATCTTCATTTTATTTCCTTTCTCCTTCATCATGTGACATAAGATTAACTGACATCACATCAGCATTTAAGAATTGTTAACTTTATGTAATAGTATTTGGGTTGGGGATTGGTACGTTCCTGGTTGTACGAAGGATATTTGTATCATGTTAAGGCATAATGTTGCCCTTATTATTGCCATCATTTGAAGATTATATATGATCTCAGGAGATGTATATGGGTTCAAGTTGATAAGGGGTGGACTTGGAATGGTTGATACTGAATGTCAACTTGATTGGATTGAAGGATACAAAGTATTGATCCTGAGAGTGTCTGTGAGAGTGTTGCCAAAGGAGACTAACATTTGAGTCAGTGGGTTGGGAAAGGCAGACCCACCCTTAATCTGGGTTGGCACAAACTAATCAGCTGCCAGCATGGCTAGAATATAAGCAGGCAGAAAAACGTGAAAAGAGAACTGGCCTAGCTTCCCAGCCTACATCTTTCTCCCATGCTGGATGCTTCCTGCCCTCAAACATCGGACTCCAAGTTCTTCAGTTTTGGAACTCGGACTGGCTCTCCATGATCCTCAGCCTGCAGACAGCCTATTGTGGGACCTTGTGATCATGTGAATTAATACTTAATAAACTATATATATATATATATATATATATACACACATATATATATACATATATATATGTGTGTATATATATATATATATATATATATATATATATATATATATATATTCCATTAGTTCTGCCCCTCTAGAGAATCTTGACTAATACTATAGGTGTGTGTTTAATTTTTTAAGAAACTTTCAAACTCTGAAAAGAGTTTTCTTAATTTAAAAAATGCTCCATCCGTAAAATGAAAAAGCAAGCGCTATTTTACAAAATCATGTTACCATATATTGGTAAGATTATTCGCTGGAGAAACAAAGAAAAATAGAGCTTGCCTATCAAACTTTGACTGAAATATACAGTAATGTGTATAATTTAAAGTACTAGTTTTAGTTAAGCTCTCAAAATTGTTGCACATCAACGCATATAGTTCTCTGTTCACCATAAAAAAGATCTGATTTGGTAACTGAATGCTTGCGCCTTGTAGTCATTCCATGATCAGCTAAGTCTTGTCTAAGGAATTACTCTGTTTATTTGATTGTTTAAAATTAATTTAAAAAGTTACTGAAAAAGGTTTGTTCTTATATTGCATTTTGCTAAGCAATACTACTAGTAAAAGGTATTGAACCAAAATAACAATTAAGCAAACAAGGATTTCAGTGTTTAACACTCACTGTTATGTAGCAACAATGAGGCTGTACTGCTTGAGGAAAATATCACAGGGACTGTATCACATATCCAAAGTGTGGCAACTGAAAACAAAATCGTTATTACATGCTAAAGAGAACACTAAATAGCACTATGTAAGAGTTCATCCCATTAAAACATTCTAATCATTTAAATTACCTTTGACCATGTCAATTATATTTGACCTTATCTAACTAGACCATGGTAAAAGTTGATATCCAGAAAACAACTTTTTTTTTTTTCATACAGAGATACCGTAAAGTGACTTTCAGGTAATAAATTTCAAAGTTTCTTGAGGGTTGTCATAATTTTCATGGTTTCTACCCTTCTGTTGTCTAATGGTTTGACACATTTTTTTGGCAGCTTAGACATATATCCTCTGTATATTTTTTGTGTGAAATTATACATGAGTAATCCATCAATGCACAGAAAAATGTGACATAAGTTTTTGTCAGTTGATAAAACATAAATATTTACAAAGAAAACTTTAGTTGGAGGCCATGACTGAAGAAGAATATATAGTTCATTTAATTTCCTATATCCAGTGACTTTTGAATTGATCTGAATTGCAGAACTAATTTAAAATATCTTTTTCATAGACTCTAGGAACTATCCACTGTTGTACTATGTTATACTATTCCTCTCTAATGATAATTATTGGTTTCTACACTTATGCTCATTAGTAGTGAGAATTTTCTTGATAAAACATTAGACTCAAAGCTAAAACAAAACTCTCATAAAACTTACCTGAAAAATATTTGAAGTAGACTAACATATGATAACAGAAATTCTAAAAAATGTGCATCCTGTCTTTCTCTTTACTTTGCTGTATCTTGTGAAAAATATAATCGAAATAGTATAAGAATAGACTTAACTTTTCACTTGGAATGAGTATACAATTGTATTATTAAGCATAGAAATAATTTTAAAAGGGCACATACATTTTATAATCCACGGCAAAAGTATGCCATAGTGTATTATAAATGTGTTACAATACAATTGGTTTAATTTAGTAGACATTCTTTGCTTTTCATTTCTGAAATAAGGTTTCTAAACATATATAAATAATATTTAGATATTTCTAGCAGCACTTAATATTTATGTGTTTAAGTTAAGCATATATCTCATGAACTCATACTAGGATTCAAAACTTTACAATTTCAAAGGTGTTCTGCTGAGCTAGGCCAAGCATATGTGTGGGCCAGTAGGTACCCTTGAGTAATGATTGAGTATTTAGAATTTCCTCTACCAATAATATATAAGGAAGTAAGCACTAAAGATAAAAATAAGGCTGGGTGCGGTGGCTCCCGCCTGTAATCCCAGCACTTCGAGAGGCTGAGGCGGGCACATCTCCTAAGTTCAGGAGTTCGAGACCAACCTGGCCAACATGGTGAAACCCCGTCCTTACTAAAAATACAAAAATTAGCTGGGAGTGCTGGCACGCACCTGTGGGACCAGCTACTTGGGAGGCTGAGTCAGGAGAATCCTTTGAACCCAGGAAATGCAGCTTGCAGTGAGACGAGATTGCACCACTGCACTCCAGCCTGGGCAACAGAACAAGACTCCGTCTCAAAAATAAAATAAAATAAGTCCGGGTGCAGTGGCTCACGCCTGTAATCCCAACACTTTGGGAGGCCAAGGCGGGTGGATCACCTGAGGTCAGGAGTTCGTGACCAGCCCGGCCAACATGGTGAAACCCCGTCTCTACTAATAATACAGAAAATTAGCCAGGAGTGGTGGCAGGTGCCTGTAATCCCAGCTGCTTGGGAGGCTGAGGCAGGAAAATCGCTTGAACCTGGGAGGTGGAGGTGGCAGTGAGCCGAGATCGTGCCATTGCACTCCTGCATGGGCAACAAGAAGGAAACTCCATCTCAATAAATAAATAAATAACTAAAAAGAATATCCCTTTCCAGACAGATCTCTAGCTCAAAGAGTCACTCAAGGAAAGAGCATCAGCATGAGGGAAACTGCGTAAGAGGACTCTTTGAGTTAGAGTTTTAAGAACAAATCAGCTGTGTTGACTTTCATTATATTAAACAAATAAAGGAATCTAAAAAACTAGTGTAACACATTTCCAAAAAACTTCATATAGTAAGATACAGCAGAGGGACCTGACAGAATCCACAAGTGCTATAGAAGACCTTGAGGCAGTAACAGTAAAACAAATTCTTATTCTAAGATGGGCCTCCTAATGCATGTTTTCATCAGAATATTTTAGAAATCCTGCTCTAGGTAATGGGGAGACTAGTGGTTGGCATAGAAATAATGACAGTTTTCTAGTATTTTTAAAATCTAGGGAAGAATACAATTTAGTCTTAAGATGGCAGCCTCATCACATGAGCAATATTTAATACTGCTCCTGTATTTATAGAACTATCAATTTAAGGACTAGACTCAGGCAGATAGTAATGTTTTCAGTGTGATTTCATTACTACAACTGTCAATTTGTGCACCAAGTTGAATTATTCAAAAATAAATATGTATTACCCAGGGTTATCTAAAGGGACAGAACTAATAGGATCGATGGATATATAAAGGGGAGTTTACTAAAGAGTATTGACTCATATGATCACAAGCTGAAGTCCCACATTATGAGCAAGGATGAGGAGCAAGGATGCCAGTCTAAGTCTCAAAACCTCAAAAGTAGAAAAGCCAAAAATGCAGCCTTCAGTCTTCAGTTGAAGTTCCGAGAGTCTCAAAGATGAAGAACTTGAAGTCTGATGTTCAAGGGCAGGAAGCACCCAGCACGGGAGAAAGATGGAGGCCGGAAGCTTAAGCCAGTCTAGTTCTTCCACGTTCCTCTGCCCACTTTTATCCTAGCTGCACTAGCAGCTGATTAGATGGTGCCCACCCAGATTGAGGGTGGGTCTGCCTCTCCCACTCCACTGACTCAAATCTTACTCTCCTTTGACAATACCCTCAAGACTCACCCAGGAACAATACTTTGCATCTTTCAATCCAATCAATTTGACATACAATATTAACCACCACAAAATACATTTTATTAAGACAAAGTAATAGTAAAGAGGAAAACTAGACATCATGTAGGAGACTGAACTGAGTAACCTCCAAGTTTGGTTTGAAATCTATAATTATATCAAAAGTTGGTGAAGGCTTGCCCATTATTAATTTGTCTTATTTATTCCAATAAAGGACACTGAATATATTAGATTAAGAGCCACCAATAGTTAATTTCAATTTTTCACAACGTATTATTATTTAAAAATTGAATGTGATTAGTTTGTGTAGAAATTACCAGATTTACAACTCATTTCGGAGGAAAGCACTAAAGATGTCAGTATCATATTTATTATTATGAATGACTTAGAACATTTGTATATCTACCCTCATCTTTCCATTTTCTGAGTTATGTTCATTTAATCAGGGAGGGTAAACCAATTCTGGAACAATTACTGGTTTTACCATGTAACTCTTCAAGATTTTACTTTTTGCATTCATTTATTTTTGTCATGTTGACAGCATAATTTATATTTAATCTTATATGGTTGATTGATTTAGAGATTTACCACTTGTCATTTTATACTACTTTTCCTTTCTTGACTTGTTAATGTTCAATTATTTTTTATTCAGTTAGAATATGTCTTTGCATAATTATTTGTATAAAGGTCATGTGAGTGATACATTCACAAAGCCTGTGCCCATCTGAATACGGCTTTTAATTTGTCATTACACAAGAAAGGTTTATTGTTGCTGAGAAATCTAAAACCACATGACCGGTTCTTTTGCAGGTAAAGTATTAGCTTTCTTTACTGCTTTTATGCTTGTAGATTTTTCAATTTTATCTTTTTTATTTCTATGTTTCATTTTACTTTAAGTTCTGGGATACATGTGCAGACTGTGCAGGTTTATTACATAAATAAACGTGTATCTTTAAAACTAAATTTGATGCAGGAACATATACATACTTGTGGGCCCTATTTTGTCAATCTTTCTTCCGTAATGTAATGTAATGAACTCCCTTTTTAAAATATTTTGGCCAACTATTTTATTCAGATAGATTGAGGGAAAATCAGGGCATTTAAGACACAAGTAGATTCTAGGAGAATAAGAAAAGACTATTTGCTTAAAATGTTCAATAATCCTTTCTGTGATCAAAAAGTATGGTGATATGTGTTTTAATTGCCATATAGTAAACCACACTCAACTTTCCTTGAAAATCTTAGGGCAAATAAAGCTCAAGGGGATGTGGGATGTGGTAAGATTTTGTATTTCAAATTTAATTTTTTTAATGACAAACAGCCAAATGTTTCGATATTTTAAGTCTCCTTAAAATGTACTAGAATTAAATAGCTGCATCAAAATAATTACATCAAAATGGTATATCCTCCTGCTAGTTTACAATAATGGCAATCTAGAAATATAAAGATCTTAGAAAATACTCTGATACTAGGACAGCAATTAAGAATTTTAGTACAAAATTATGCTGAAAACTGGTTTTCCTTTTTAGCTTATATTCAAATTGTTATTTACTGTATCATTTTTAGGAAAAACACATTCTTATTGCTTTAAAGATAGCATTTCTATGAAATCAGAAAATGAAAACGTAAGATATTGTTTCAAGGAAATATATATATACACATATATATAATATATATACATATATAATATATATACATATATAATATATATACATATATAATATATATACATATATAATATATATACACATGTATAATATATAATATATATAATATATATACACATATATATTATATATACATATATAATATATATACACATATATATTATATATACATATATAATATATATACACATATATATTATATATACATATATAATATATATACACATATATATTATATATACACACATATGTATAATATATATACACATATATATTATATATACACACATATGTATAATATATATACACACATATATAATATATACACATATATATTATATATATACACATATATATAATATATATACACATATATAATATATATACACATATATAATATATATACACATATATAATATATATACACACATATATAATATATATACACATATATAATATATATACACATATATATAATATATATATACACATATATACATAATATATATACATATATATTATATATACATATATATTATATATACACATATATATAATATATATACACGTATATATATTATATATATACACATATATGTTATATATATACACATATATATAATATATATACACATATATATATTATATATACACACATATATAATATATATACACACATATATATTATATATATACACACATATATATTATATATATACACACATATATAATATATATACACACATATACATATAATATATATACACACATATATATAATATATATACACACATATATATTATATATATACACATATATATATAATATATATACACACACATATATATATAATCTATCTATATATATATATATATTTTTTTTTTTGAAACAGAGTGTCACTCTGTTGCCAGGCTGGAGTGCAGTGCCACGCGATCTTGGCTCATGGCAACCTCCGCCTCCTGGGTTCAAACGATTCTCCTGACTCGGCCTCCCGAGTAGCTGGGACTACAGGCACGCACCACCACATCCAGCTAATTTTTGTATTTGTAATAGAGACCGGGTTTCACCATGTTGTCCAGGATGGTCTCAATCTCTTGTCCTCATGATCTGCCCACCTCAGCCTCCCAAAATGCTGAGATTACAGGCATGAGCCACCACGCCCTGCCAGAAATATGAATTTTTTAATATACACAACAGATTCCATAGACTGATATTAGCATTCAAATAAAAATATTCAGATACAGAAGATTCACTATAATGGATATTAAAAAAGAATTTAAAATATTTGTGGCAGCTGTGGAAGCAGAAAAAATTAAAAGATTTTACTATTAGAGGAAGTAAGCATAGATTATAGAGTCTGGTGTTAATGTTTATACTGATTCTTGAGCTCCTCAGTAACTTATACAATTGGAGAATCACATCTTAATCAGTAAAGAAAGGATTGCAGAAATAGGTCATACTGAGCTCAGATATACTGCAAGGGTGGCTCACCATTGATTTACAGTTAAGATTGTGAAGGTTACAGCAAAGTTATAAATCAATTAATAAAGAATATATTTTCCCATGAACCTATGTGAATTGAGAACCATAATCTACTAAAAAATGCAAGTGCATTTTAAAAATTAAGATTTTGTTATATTTATTTATCACAGGAAATATACACATAGAACCAAACAACCTGAACTTTTAAAAGGATTAAAGAATAAGAGTTTGTAAGGGGTGCACGTTAATATTTAGCTAATGGCCATGGTGAAAAAAAGCCACAAAAGGCTTATTTCTAAGCAAAATCCTGCCTTCTAAGATCAGGAAGCATATCTTCAGTATTTACAAGAAAACCACTAATGCTACCTTGTGCGGCTTATCTCATTTTGATAAGGACAGGACTAAGCCCCCTGTTTTTATGTTTGATTTTTGTGCAGAGCAAAATGAAATTTCCTGTAATGTATATGGCTTTATTTCTATTGATTTAATGTGCATTTATCTGCATTTTAGTACTGTTATTTTTTGAAGTTTTTTTGGTGCGAGTATTTCTTTTTAATTTTAAAATAATTATAAATTCATGGTAATTTGCCAAGATAGTACAGAGAAGCCCCATGTACCCTTCATCAAGTTTCCCCACATTGTTACATCTTGCATAGTTATAGCGTAATATCACAACCAGGAAATAGACATTGGTACAATTTAAGTGTATAGTCCTATGTTAATTTAACGCATGCATGCATTTGTGTAACTTCTACAACAATCAAAATATTGAATTATTCTATCAACCCAAAGACATCTGTCATGATACCCCTTTGTAACAATTGCACTCAAGTCCTTCATGCTACCTCCAAAATCTACACAACCTCTAATTTGTCCACCATCTCTGTAATGTTGTCATATTGAGAACGTTATATACATGGGATCACATACAATGTGACATTTTGACATTGGCTTATTTTGTGGTGATCTGTTTTTGAATTTTGTGTTCTGTTCCATTGATGCTGTATGTTTTATCCTCCACTGATGACACACAGTTTCTATCATTGTACCTATATAACAGGTCTTAAAATTCATTAGATGAATTCCTACAAATCTATTATTTTTATTCAAACTCATTTTAAATATTCTACTTTCTCTGCATTTCCAATATATTTTAGAATAATTTTGTCTATATCTACAAAAATCCTCCTGCAGTTTCTACCAGAATTGCATTAAACCTACTTAGACATTTGGAAGAATAGACATCTAACTATTCTGAGTCTTTGAATTCATGAATGCGGTGTGTATTCCATTTAATTTATATCTTCTTTAATTTATTATCATTTAAAAAATGGTAGTTTTTTTTTTAGTCTTTTCTTCCTTCTCAGTATTGTGAATAACTGAATATAGAAAATATAGTTACTGGAAGAGGAGGTGGAGCAAAATGGCAAAATAGAAGACTCCACCCATCAGCCCCTCTGCAAGGACACCAGTTTAACAACTATCCACATATAAAAGGCCCCTTTGTAAGAACCAAAAATCAGGTGAACACTCACTGTACTTGGTTTTAATTTCATGTTGCTGAAAGAGGCACTGAAGAGGTAGGAACAAAAAACATTTTGAATCCTTAGCACCAACCCTCCCCCACCACCCAGCAAGAGCATCATGCTGCAGAGAGCATTTCTGTGTACTGAGGAGGATGAGCTCATCAATTGTGAGGCATTGTACTCAGTGTTGTTCTTTTATAGCAGAAAGGAAAACTGGACTAAACTCAGCTTATGCCCACCCACAAAAAGAGCATTTAAACTGCCTCTTGCCAGAGGAGAATTGCCAATCCCAGCGGTCAGAACTTCAATTACTGCAAGCCACACCACCAGGAGCTAGAGTGCTCTGGGCACTAAATGAACTTAAAGACACCCTGGGACTAAAGGAGTACAATTCCTAGGAGAGTCCTAGTGCTGAACTGGGCCCAGAGACAGTGGAAAGCAATGGCATGTAACCTACTGAGACACTAGCCAAGGTGGCTGTGGCTGTATTAGTCAGGGTTCTGTAGAGAAAGGCGTAGGCTGGGAAGCTAGGCAAATCTCTCCATTTCATGTTTTTCTGCCTGCCTTACATTCCTGGCAGCTAATTAGATTGTGCTCACCCAGCTTAAGGGTGGATCTACTTTCCCCAGCCCACTGACCCAAATGTTAATCGCTTCTAGAAACACCCTCACAGACATACCCAGGATCAATAATTTCAATCCAATCAAGTTGACACTCAGTATTAACCATCACAAGTCCACCCCTTGTCAACTTGAACCCACACACATCTCCTGAAATCATACATAATCTTCAAATAAAGACAATAATAAGGTCATAATTACACCTAACATAATACAGCTATCCTTCCTACAATTGGAAATGCACCAATATCCAACCCAAATATTATAACATAGGGTTAACAACACTTAAATGCTGATATGAAGTCAATAAATCTTATGTCACATGATAAAAGGGAAGGAAATAAAATAAAGATATTTTCTTAGTACAAGTGTATAGATACACAAACATGTTTTCAGAAAAAGAAAGAAGAAATACTTATGACAATTACAGTCCCCATTTCTGCAGCTGGTCATGTGGTCATAGCTGGTATGGAAGACTACCTTTTCTACTATGCATTCTGTATTCCCGTTGCCTTCAGCAAGCACCTCAGTATGTCATTTTGTTTGTTTGTTTGTTTGTTTTCCCGGTGGAGTGACCCAAATCTTCATTCCTGAGGTGTCTGGGCCATTTGTAGCTCTGCCTGGATTGGGCTGTTGTAGTTTTCCATTGACCTTAATCACAGGGCATGGTAACACTAAGAGATGCCCTAATGGATCTCCTGTATTCCATGCATACTCTTCCTTACCTCTGTTGTGAAGTAGTAGATTGATTTCATCTTGATAGTCCAAGTCAGTCACCCCCACGAACACTGTAAGTCCCTTCTTAGCCTGTCAACTTAAAGGTAAGAGGAGCCCAAAGTGTCCAGGTGGCAATCTCAACTTCCAGTTTAATGGAATCGTGGTTGTGTTTCCTGGTGGCAGCGTTCCTCCCTCTGGAACTAAGACCTCTAGACCAGCAGAACATAATGTCACGGGAACAGGAAGGAAATATTTTGCTAGTGGATCACTAGGGGTGATGGTGAGTGATACCACTTCCACTTCCACCCCTTGATTTCTGGACCCGTGAATCCTGGCTATGGGAGAAACAGTACTATATATCGAACGCTGATTCAGAGCATACACGGCCTTCTGGAGTTTCATAGTTTGAGGCCTTAGTTTTATGTTTTTAATCCATTTTGATTTGATTCTTATATGGAAAGAGATAGAAGTCTAGTGTCATTCTTTGCATATGGATATCCAGTTTTTCCAGCACGATTTATTGAAGAGACTGGCCTTTCCCCAAAGCATGTTCTTGGCACTTTTGTCAAAATGAGCTCACTGTAGATGTATGGTGTTTATCTCTGAGTTTTGATTATGTTCCAGTGATCTATGTGTCTGTTTCTATGCCAGTACCATGCTGTTCCTGTTACTTTAGCACTTTAGTGTAAAGTCAGATAAAGCAATTTATCTAGTTTTGTTCTTTCTATTCAGGAGAGCTTTGATTATTCTGGTTCCATACACATTTTAGAATTTTTTTTTTCTATTTCAGTAAAGAATGCCATTCAGATTTTGATAGGGATTGCATTGAATCTGTGGATTGCATTGGGTAGTATGAACATTTTAACAATATGGATTCTTCCAATCCACGAGCATGAAATATCTTTACATATTTTTGTGTCCTCTTCAATTTCTTGCATCAATGCTGTATTAGTTTGTTTTCATACTGCTGATAAAGACATAGTAGAGACTGGGCAATTTACAAAAGAAAGAGCTTCAGTGGACTTACATTTCCATGTGGCTGGGGAGGCCTCACAATCATGGTGGAAGTTGGAAGGCATGTCTCACATGATGGCAGAGAAGAGAAGAGAGCTTGTGCAGGGAAACTCTCCTTTTTAAAATCATCGGGTCTCATGAGACTTATACACTATCATGAGAACAGCACAGGAAAGACCTACCCTATGATTCAATTACCTCCCATCCGGTCCCTCCCACAACACCTGGGAATTCAAGATGAGATTTGAGTGGGGACACAGCCAAACCATATCAAATGCTTATAGATTTCATTGTAGAGTTCTTTCCACCTGTTTGGTCAAGTTAATTCATAGTTATTTTATTCATAGCTGTTGTAAATGGGATTGCATTCTTTATTTTTTTTTAGATTGTTCACTGTTGGCATGTAGAAATACTACGTATTTTTGTTTGTTGATTTTGGATCCTGCAACTTAACTCAATTTGTTTATCAGATCCAATAGCTTTTTGGTGGATTTTCTAGCTTTTTTTCAAATATAAGCTCATATCATCAGAAAACAAGAATAGTTTGACTTCTTCCTTTTGAATTTGGATGTCCTTTATTTCTTTCTCTTGTCTGATTGCTCTAGCTAAGACTTCCAATACTATGTTGCAAAACAGTGGTGACAGTGGGCTTCCTTGTCATTTCCTAATCTTATTTGAAAGAATTTGCTTCTCCCCATTCAGTATGATACTAGCTGTGGGTCTGTTGTATATGGCTTTTATTATATTGACGTATCTGTTTTCTATACCCAGTTATTTCAGGGTTTTAATCACAATGGGATGTTGAATTGTATTAGTTTTCCAGCATGAATTGAAATGACCTTATAATTGTTGCTCTTTATTATGTTTATATGATGTATTACATTAATTGATTTGTATATGCTGGACCATTCTCCCATGGCTGGGATAAATCCTACTTGGTAATTATGGATGATCTTTTTAATATATTGGTGAAATTTGTTTGCTAGTACTTTTTGAGGATATTTGCATTAATATTCATCAGTTATATTGGCCTATAGTTTTATTTCTTTGATATGTCTCTGTCTGGTTTTGGTATTAAGGTAATACAGTTTGGAACTACTCTCTCCACCTTTATTTTTCAGAATAGATTGAGCACTATTGTCATTAGTTTTTTAATTGTTTGGTAGCATTCAGCAGTGAAGCCATTAGGTCCTCACTTTTTCATTGCTGAGAGAAATTTTACTACCACTTCAATTACATTACTTGTTATTGGTCTGTTCAAGATTTAGATTTCTTTCTGGTTCAATAATGGTAGGTTACTTATGTCTAAGAATTTATCCATTTCATCTAGATTTTCCAATTTCTTGTAATATAGGACATGAAGTTGCTCGTAGTATCCACTAACGATTATTTGAATTTCTGTATCATCAGATGTAATGTCTTTTTTCCACCACTGACTTTAATTGGGTTTTCTCCTTTTTTTCTTAGTCTGGCTCAGGGTTTGTCAGTTTTGCTGAACTTTTCAAAAAAACAACTTTTTTTGTTTTGTTGAATATTGGCATTCTTTGCTATATTTCAAATTCATTTATTTCTGCTCTGATTTTTATTTTTTTCTTCTAATTTTAGGTTGGTTTGCTCTTGCTTTCCTAGTTCTTTAATATGCACTGTTAGGTTATTTTATTTTTTTCTTCTTTTTTGATGTAGGCACGTATTGCCATAAACAGCTCTCGTAGTACTGCTTTTGTTGTATTCCATAGGTTTGGGTATGTTGTGCTTCCATTATCATTCGTTTCAAGAAAATTTTCAATTTTCTTCTTATTTGTTGACCCACTGGTCATTCAGGAGCATATTGTTTAATTTCTATATATTTGTGTAATTTTTGAAATTCCTTTTGTTATTGATTGTAGTTTTTATTCCATTGTGGTCACAGCAGATGCTTGATGTTATTTCAATTTTTTTAATGTTTTAAGATTAGTTCTGTTACCTAATGTACTGTCATTCTTGTGAATGATCAATGTGCTGAGGGGAAAAAAATATGTATTCCACAGCCGTTGGATAGAATGTTCTGAAAAGTTCTATTAGGTCTATTTGATCTATAGTTACTATTATGTTGAAAATTCATTTGCTTATATTCTGTCTGGAGAATCTGCTAAAGAGTGAAAGTGGGATTTTGAAGTTTTTAGCTATTGTTGTATTGGTATCTATTTCTCTCTGCAGCTCTAATGGCATTGGCTTTATATATCTGGGTGTCTAAATGTTGGGCATATGTATACTTAAAATTATAATATCCCTTGCTGAATTGACCCCTTTATCATAATATAGTGACTTATTTGTCTCTTACAGTCTTTGTCTTGAAGCCTATTTTGTCTCATATAAGTATAGTGACACCTGCTTTTTTTGTTTTCCATATGCATGAAATATTTTTCTATCCCTTTATTGTCAGTCTAGCTGTGTCTTTATAGGAGAAATGTATTTCTTTTAAGAGAAAAATCAATTGATATTGTTTTTATATTTATTCAGCCAGCCTATGACTTTTAATTGGAGAGCTTAGTCCATTTATATTCAATGTTATTATTGATAAGTTAGAATCTACTCCTGCCATTTTCTTATTTGTTTTCTGGTTGTTTTTTGGTCTTCTCTTTCTTCTTCACTTCCTTTCTTCTTATTTTACCAATGATGATTTTCTCTAGTGGTATGATCTAATTTTCTGCTTTTTATTTGTGTATCTGTCATATGTCTTTTGGTTTTAGATTACCATGAGGCTTCAAAATACTCTCTTATATACAACTATTTTTACCTGATAACAACTTAACACTGTGTAAGCAAACAAATGAACAAGCAAAAAAAAAAAACTAATGAAAGCTCTACATCTTTCCTTAATCCACCTTCTTTTTAATTTTTGTTGTTCCCATTTGTATCTTGCTGTACTGTTGATGTCTTTAAAAGTTGTTTTAGTTATTATTTTTGATTGGTTTATCCTTTTTCTTTCTACTTAATATTAGTTTTCACATCACAGTTACGGTGTTATAATAGTCTGTGCTTTTCTGTGTATTTACTACTACATGTGAATTTTGTACTTTCAGATGATTTCTTCTTGATCAGTAATGCCCTCCTTTTCCTTCTGATTTAAATACTTCCTTTAGGATTTCTTGTACGATAGGTCTACTTTGATGAAATCCATCAACATTTGATTATTTGAAGAGTCTGTTCCTACTTTACATTTTAAAGATTTTTTATGAGATATATTATTCTAGGGTAAAAGTATTTTTTTCTCCTTCAGCACTTTAAATATCTCATGTCTCTCTCTCCTGGTCTGTAAGGTTTCCACTGAAAATTTTATTACCCAGACGTATTGGAGTTCCATTGTATGTTACTTTTTTCTCTTGCTGCTTTTAAAATCCTTTCTTTAATCTTGACCTTTGGGAGTTTGATTATTAAATGCCCTGAGATAGTCTTCTTTGGGCTAAATCTGCTTGGTATTCTATAACCTTCTTGTACTTGGGTATTAATATTTTTCTCTAGGTTTCAGGAGTCCTCTGTTATAACTCCATTAAATACAGTTTATACCCCATCTCTTTTTCTGCTTTCTTTTCAAGGACAACCGAGATTTTTCCTTTTGAGTATATTTTCTAGATTCTGCTTGGACCAAACAAATAGAGTAACTTTCTCTTTTCTGAGCTGCCTTGAGCTGGGCCTTCACCACTGGGTCTGCACTGTGTCAGAGCTAAAGCCAGCAGAGCACTGGGTCTGACCCAAGGCCCACTGTAACCATTACTCAGCTGCTGCTTATGTTCACTGAAGGTCCTGGATCTCTACAATTAACAGGTGACAAAGCCAGCCAGGCTTGTGTATTTCCATTCAGGGCATTCAGGGTTGTGAGTTCCATCATTCTCTGAAAGGGTCTAGAGGTGCTGTTTGGGAGCAAGGGACTAAAGAAGTCTACCTAGTGTTCTATTGTACTGCAGCTGAGCTGGCAGTCAAATCAGAAGATCCAGTTTTCCCCGCTCTTCTCTAAGCTTTCCACAGGCAGAGGAGCCTCACCGCATGTCCACCACCACCACAGGCCCACAGGCAGTACTGCCAGGCTACCGCCAATGTTCACTTAAGGTCAAAGGGCTTTTTAGTCAGCTGATGGTGATTGCTGCCTGACCTGGGACTCATCTTTCAGGCAGTGGGCTTCACTCTGGCACAGGGGAAGCCCAGAAATGTCATCCAAAAGCCAATGCCTGGAATAGATCATCCCAACTGCCCACATAGTGCCCGCCCCCACCCCATGTCCAACCTGGTACCTAAGATGCAAAACAAGGTCCCCTTTATGTTTCCTTATGCATTTCTCAGTGAGATGGAATCTCTAACTATAGCAGCCACAGCTGGGAATGTACTGAGTCTCTCCTGAAGCCAGTAAGTCTAAGAGGCTCACCCAAGGCCCATGGTGTACTAGCTGAGTATTACTGCTGGTTTTTCAGGGCTCAGTGGCTCATTAGTTGATGTTTTCTTGCCTGGACTGGATCTTTTCCTTCAAGGAAGTGGGTTCTTTTCTGGTCCAGGGTGTGCCTAGAAAAGTCATCCTGGAGCTAGGGCCTAGAAAAGGGATATCTCAAATATGATTGGTGCCCTATCCTACTGTGGCTGAACTGGTATCCAAGATGCATGACAATATGGTTTTTACTCTTTCCTCTTCTCTCCTCAAGCAGAATAAAGGGGACACTATTGGAGCCAAAAACTGTGCTATCTCTGGTTGGGGAAGGGATGGCACAACCACTTTCTTAGTTGCTTTGGCTGATGTCTCACTAGGTCACACTTCCCAAAGTTTCCGGGCTCTGAGTCTAATCCTACACCATGGCTTGCTTAGTAGTTGCAGTCCTTGTGGCCTAGACTACCTTTCATGTTTCCTTAGAGACCCACAACACTCTAGCTTTTGGTGACAAGGCTTGCCAAAAGTAAAGTTCTGATCAAGGGGATGAGTGATTCCCCTCTGGTTAAGACTGTTTTGAATACTTTCTCTATGGTGACCATCAGCTGAATTCATCCCAGCTTTGCATTCTACTGTGATGAGGCAGCACTGAGTTCAGTGCAATGTCTCACAATTGGCTTTAGTGTCCTTCTGCCAAGCCCACAGACGTTCTCTTTGAGCAACATGGCCAACACTGGGGGATGTGGAAAGAGTGGCATTAGCAATTCGACACTGTCTTTTCCCTGGGTCACTGAAGACCCTATTCAGTGCTTCTTTTAGTCATATGAAGTTAAAACCAGGTACTGTGAGAGATCACTTAATTTTTTATTCTTATGAAGGTGCTTTTTTTTGTTGTCAAATTTGGTGCTCTTGTGTTAGGAATGATCAGTGGAACCTTCTATTTGGTCATCATAATCTCCCTCTCTCTGAATCTATAAATTTTTGTGTCTATAAAGACATTATTTGTATTTTAGTACTGAATGTTTAAAAAGCAGACATCTAAAGAGTTATTTAGATGTGAAACTAAAAAAAAACTTATAAGGTGTTATTGTTTAACATAAAAAACCAAGTTAAAGTTGAGCAAATGTCTAATTTATGTGAGTTAAAATTATTGTATTATGGTGCCAATGTTTTATCGGCACACATTCACTTTATATCTCTGTGTCACATTTGGTAATTCTTGCAATATTTCAAACTTTTTATTATTATTATATTTTATGATGACCTGTAATCAGTGATCTTTGATGTTGCTATTCTAATTGTTTTGGGTTGCCCTAAACCACCCCCAAATAAGATGCTGAATTTAATTGATAAACACTGTGGGTGTTATGAACACTCCACTGACTGGCTGTACCCTATCTCTGTACCTGTCCTCAGGCATCCCTATTTTCTGAGTCACAGCAATATTGAAATGAGGACACTTAATAACCCTACAATGGCCTGAAAGTATTCAGTTGAAAGAAAGATTTGCACATCTCTCCCCTTAAGTCAAAAGCTAGAAATACTTATGACCAGAAAAGAAGACATGGCTGGAAGTAAAGATTGGCCAAAAACTGGGCTTCTTTTGCAGTTAGCCAAGATGTGAAGACAAAGCAAAAGGTCTTGATGGAAATGCAAAGTGCTTTCCACTGAATAAACAAATGATAAGAAAGTGAAATAGCCTTATCATTGATATGGAGAAAGCTTCAGTGGTCTGGATAGAAGATTAAACCAACCACAACATTCCCCTAAACCTAACCCTAATCCAGAGCATGGTTTTAAATCTCTTTATTTTGAGAGAGGTAAGGGAGCTGCAGAAGAAAAGTTTAAAGCTGGCAGAGGTTGGCTTAAGGTGTTTAAAAAAGAAGCCATCTCCATAACATAAAAGTGCAAGATGAAGCAGGAAGCATTTTGTTCTCCAGAAGATCTGGCTAAGATAAATGATAAATACGGTTGCAGTAAACAACAGATTTTCAAAGTAGAAAAAACAGCCTTATATTGATTTAAAAGAATGCTACCTAGTACTTTTATAGTAGTTAGGGTAGAAGCTAATATCCAGCTTTAAAGCTTCAAAGCACAGACTGACTTTCTTGTTAGGACCCTAATGCAGCTGGCGACTTTAAGTTAACATCAATGCTCATTTACCATTTTAAAAAACTTAGGACCTTTGAGAATTATGCTAAATTGACTCTGCCTGTGCTCTGTAAAAGGAACAATGAAGCCTTGATGACAGCACATCTGTTTACAGCATGGTTCACCGAATATTTTGAGCCCGCTGTTGACACCCTCTTCTCAGAAAACAAAGATTCCTTTCAAAATGTTACTTCTCATTGTCAGTGCACCTGGTCACCCAAGAGCTCTGATGGAGATGTACAGAGTGTAATGTTGCTTTGATTCCTATTAAAACAATATTCATTTTGGAAACAATAGATCAAAGAGTTATTTTGGCTTTCAAGTTCTTTTTAAACTTGTATTTTAGATTGAAGGGTACAGGTACAGGTGTGTTACATAGGTAAATTGTGTCACAAGAGTTTGTTGTACACATTATTTTGCCACCCAGGTAATAGGCATAGCATAAGACAAGTAGTTTTTTAATCCTCACCCTACTCCTTCCCTCCACCATCAAGTAGGTATTAGTGTCCTTTGTTCCCTTCTTTGTGTCTATATGTATTCAGTGTTGAGCTCCAAATTGTAAGTGAGAACATGTGGTATTTGATTTTCTGTTTACATGCGAGTTCACTTAGGATAATGAACTCCAGCTTCATCCACACATCTGCAAAAGACACAATCTCATTCTTTTTATCATTGTATAGTATTCCATGGTGTACATTTAGTACATTTCCTTTATCCAGTGCACCCTTCAGGGGCATTTAGGCTGATTCCATATTTTTGTTATTTTAAAAGTTGCTACAATAAACATACATGTTCATGTGTCTTTATGGTAGAACAACATATTCCTTTGAGTATATAACTAATAAGAAAATTGCTGGGTTGAATGGCAATTCTCCTTTGAGTTCTTTGAGAAGTTGCCAAACAGCTTTCCACAATAGCTGAACTAATTTACATTCCCATCATCAGTGCATTTCCTTTTCTTCACCGCCACGCCAGCATCTATTATTTTTGACTTCTTATTAATAGCCATTCTGATTGATGTGAAATGGTATCCCATTGTGGTTTTAATTGGCATTTCTTTAATGATTAGTGATGTTGAGCATTTTTGATATGCTTATTTGCCATATGTATATCTTTTTGGTTTTGAGTAGTGTCTGTTCATATGTTTTGCCCACTTTTTAATGGGGCTGTTTTTGCTTGTTGAATTGTTTAAGTTCCTTATGTATTCTGGGTATTAGACCTTTGTCAGATGCATAGTTTACAAGTATATTCTCCCATTCTTTAGGTTGTCTGTTTACTCCCTTGATAGTTTATTTTGCTGTGTGGAAGCTCTCTAGTTTAATTAAGTTTCATTTTTCAATTTTTGTTGTTTTTGCAATTGCTTTTGGAATGATCATCATAAAATGTTTGTCAGGTCCTATGTCCGGAATGGTATTGCCTAGGTTATTTTTCAGTTTCTTCATAGTTTTAGGTTTTACACTTAGATCTTCAATCCAAATTGGGTTAATTTTTGTACATAGTGTAAGGAAGGAGTCCAGTTTCAATCTTCTGCATAGGCTAGCCAGTTATTCCAGCACCATTTATAAAATAGAAATTCCTCTTCCTATTGCTTTTTATTTGTCAGCCTTTTTGACTATCAGATGGTTGTAGGTATGTGGCATTATTTCTGGACTCTCTATTCTGTTCCCTTGGTTTATGTGTCTTTTTAAACCAAATACCATGTATGTTGTTTTGTTTGCAATAACATTGTAGTATAGTTTGATGTTGGGTAACACGACACCTCCAGCTCCTTTCCTTTTGTTCAGAATTGCTTTGGCAATTCAAGCTCTCTTTGGGCTCCACGTGAATTTTAAAAATCATTTTTTTCTAATTCTGCAAAGAATGTCATGGGGTAGTTTGATAGAAATAGCATTGAATTTGCAAATTACTTCGGGCAGTATGGCTATTTTAACAAAATTGAGTCTTATTATCCATAAATGTGCAAAGTGTTTTTCATTTGCTTGTGTCACCTCTGATTTATTGGAGTAGAGTTTTGTAATTCTCATTTTAGAGATCTTTTGCCTCCCTGGTTAACTATATACCTAGAAATTTTTTCTTCTTGTGGCTATTGTGAATGGAATTGTGTTCTTGATTTGGCATTAAGCTTAGATGTGGTTGGTGTATAGAATTGCTAGGATTTTTGTACATTGATTTTGCATCCTGAAACTTTGCTGAAATTGTTTATCATCTCAAAGAGCTTAGTCTCTTAATACATTTTTAAGAACTTGATTTATGAATCTTCATTCTCCTGTGTTGGGTGCATATATATTTAGGGCAGTTTGTCTTTTTGTTGAATTGAGAGTTTTGCTGATATGTAAGGCCCGTTTTTTGAATTTTGTTGCTTTAAAGTATCTTTTATCTGAACTAGCATAGCAAATATGTGTGGAATAGATTCTGTCATTGTGTTTTTAGGTAGTTATTATGCAGACTTGTTTGTGTAGTTGCTTTCTTGTGTCAATAATTTGTGAACTTAAGTATATTTTTGTATTGGCTGGAAATGGTCTTTTCTTTCCATATTTAGCACTCCTTTCAGGACTTCTTGTAAGGCAGGTCTGGTAGTAATAAATTCCATTCGGATTTGCTTGTCTGAAAAAAATAAAACATTTCTTCTTCTTTTATGAAGCTTAGTTTAAATGGATATAAAATTCTTGATTGAACCTTAATTTTATTTTTGGCTGCTGTAAATGAAATTACTGATTTTAAATGTCTTTTTCCCATTGTTCACTCTTGTCAAATAGGAATGCTACTGGTTATTCTATATTGATTTTCTATATGAATATTTAGTGAATTTGTTTATCAGTTCTAATAGCTTTTTGGAAGCATATTTAGATTTTTCCAAATATAAGATCATACAATCAGCAAACGAGGATTATTTGACTTCTTTGTTTCCAATTTGCATATGCTTTTTGTCTTTCTCTTGCCTAATTGCTCTAGCTAGGGCTTCCAGTACTATATGGAATAACAGTGATGACAGTGGGCATCCTGGTCACGTTCCAGATCTTAGAGATGTTAAAAGAAAAACTTCAACCAAATTAAATTTAAAGGAGTTTAAAGGAGCAATGAACAATTTGCAAATCGGGCAACCCCTAGAATCACAGGAGATCCAGAGAGACTCCAGGAGTGCCTCGTGGTCAGAACAAATTTATAGACAAAAAAAATAAGGTGACATGCAGAAATGGGAAGTGAGGTACAGAAACAGCTGTATTGGTTACAGCTCGGCATTTGCCTTATTAGAGCACAGTTTGAACATTCAGCCATATATGACTGGTTGAAGTATGGCTGCTGGGATTGGCCAAGACTCAGTGATTGTTACAGGTGCATACTCCTAAGTTATGTCTTTAATCTTGTCTACCTATTAAGTTAGGTTGCAGTTCATACACAGTGACTCAAATATAGAAGTACGAAGCCCTTCTCAGGCCATATTTAGTTTGCTTTAACAGAGAAAAGGCTTTCAGTTTTTCCTCATTCATCCATGAATCTGTCATGTATGGCTTTTATTATGTTTAGGTACGCTCTTTCTATCCCCAGTTTTTGGAGGGTTTTTATCATGAAGGGATGTTGAATTTTATCAAATACTTTTTCACTATCAATTTAAATAACCATATGTTTTTTGTTTTTTGTGTTTTTTTTGAGATGGAGTCTTGCTCCATTGCCCAGGCTGGAGTGCAGTGGCACGATCTTGGCTCACTGCAAGCTCTGCCTCCCAGGTTCATGCCACTCTCCTGCCTCAGCCTCCTGACTAGCTGGGACTACAGGTGCCCGCCACCACCCCCGTCTAAATTTTTTGTATTTTTATTAGAGACGAGGTTTCACTGTGTTAGCCAGGATGGTCTCGATCTCCTGACCTCGTGATTTGCCTGCCTCAGCTTCCCAAAGTGCTGGGATTACAGGCATGAGCCACCACGCCCAGCCAATAATAATATGCTTTAAATCTTCATTCTGTGGATAAGATGTATCACACTGATTGATTTGCACTTGTTGAACCATTCTTGCTTCCCAGAAATAAATCTCACTTGGTTATAACGAATGATCTTTCTAATGTGTTGTTGAATTCTGTTTGCTTGTATTTGGTGAGAATTTTTGCATCAATATTCATCATAACTGATGAACCTGTAGCTTATTTTGTTATTTGTCTTTGTCTTGTTTTGGTATCAACGTAATACTGGCCTTGTAGAATGAAGTTGAAAGTATTGCTTTCTATTCTAGTTTTGGAATAGGTTGAGTAGCATTGGCATTAGTTCTTCTTTAAATGTTTCATAGAATTCAGCAGTGAAGCCATCAGGTCCTAGGTTTTATTTACTGAAAGGCTTTTTATTATAGCTTTGATCTTATTACTTGTTATTGGTCATTTCAGGTTTTGAATTTCTTCCTGGTTCAATCTTAGTAAGTTGTATGTGTTTAAGAATATGTCCATTTCTTCTAGATTTTCCAATTTACTGGCATGTAGTTCCTCATAGTAGCCACTAATGAATTTTTGAATTTCTGCAGTATTAGTTGTAATGTTTTTTTTTAAATTTCTGATTTTATTTATTTTTATTTTCTCTTCTTATTGCTAGTCTGGCTAAAAGCTTTTCAATTTTCTTTAACTTTTCAAGAAAACAACATTTGTTTCATTGATCTTGCACTATTATTTTCTTCATTTCAATTTCATTTATTTCTGTTCCAATCTTTTTTTTCTACTACTTTTGTGTTTGGTTTGCACTTGCTTTTCTAATACTTAGATGCATTATTAGATTGTTTATTTATAAAGTTTTTATCTTTTTTGATGTAGGCTCTTTTAGCTATAAACTCCTCTCTGAATATTACTTTGTCTGTATCTCTTAAAATTTTGGTATGGTGTGTTCCCATTATCATTTGTTTAAAACATTTTCAACTTTTTAAAAATTTCTTTATTGAGCCACTGGTTATTTAGGACCATATTGTTTAATTTCCATGTATTCGTATAATTGCCAAAATTCCTATTATTATTAATTTCTAATTTTATTATATTATGGTCAGAGAAGCTGCTTGACATGATTTCAATTTTTTTAATGCTTTAAGACTTGTTTTGTGACCTAATGTATGGTCTATACTTGAAGATGATCCATGTGCTGAGAAAAAAATAATGCATATTCTGCACCCATTGGATAAAATGTTCTGTAAATATCAATTAGCTCTATTTGTTCTATAGTGCCAATTAAATCTGATGGTTGTTAGTTGATTTTCTGTCTGGAAAGTCTCTACAATGCTAAAAGTGGGGTGTTGAAATACCCAGCTATTACTCTGACCTATCTCTTTCTTTAGCTCTAATATTTCCTTTATCTGTGTGGGTGCTCCAGTGTTGGGTGCATATCTATTTTAAATGTTTATATTCTCTTGAGGAATTGACCCTTTATCATTGTATAAAGACCTTCTTTGTCTCTTCTTATAGTTGTTTTCCCTTTTCATAGTCTTCAAAGCTATTTTGTCTGATATAACCATAGCAATTCTTGCTCTTTTGTTGTTTTCATTGGCATGGAATATCTTTCTTAATCTTTTTATTTTTATGCTATTTGTGTCTTTATAGGTAGAGTGTGTTTTTTTGTAGGTGACAGATCAATGGGTTTAGTTTTTTTCAGCCATTCAGCCAGTGTATGTCTTTTGGTTAGGCTGTTTATTCCATTTACATCCAATGTTTTTATTAATAAGCAAGGACTTATTTCTGCCATTTCATTAATTGTTTTCTGATTCTTTTTCTTCTCTTTTTCCTTTCTTTCATTTCCCACTCTCTCTAGAAAAGTTGATTTTCTCTGATGAAATAATTTAATTTCTTGCTTTGCATGTGTGTGTTTTCATTGTATGTTCTTTGGTTTGAAGTTACCATGAGGCTTCCAAATACTATCTTATAACCCATTTTTTTAACCTGACACTATTTGCATAAGCAAATAAACAAACAAGAGAAAGAAAACTAATAAAACCTCACCTTAACTACTATAAGCTAGTATAAGGCCAACAGGTCATTTTTCTTGGGAATTTGTAATGTTAATGATGGTTACACTTATTCTTGTGGTGCCAGAAGCCCTTGAGCACCTTCCTCTGCATGTTGTGTTATCTATGCAAATAAAGAAGTTTGCAAGTGAATAAATTGCATAAGTTCTTTTATAACTTCCCTCACAGAGCAGTTTACATTTGTTTAGGTCTATATAAAAAATATATGGAGGGGCAGAGGTACAGGCCCACTGGGGAATGTTGGTGTTGAACCAAGTTTAAGAATGAGCAATGTCACCATTAATCAGATCCACAGTATTGGGGCTGCCTTATATTGAGGTAGAAATAGTTTGAAAAAAAATGAAGGAATTACTTATCTTTTCATTTAAAGATACATTTTAAATTCTCCAATCACTCATAAGAATACTCAGGTTTTGGTCCTTTAATTGGTTCTTTGCAACCTTTCCAAGGTTTTATTTGGGAATGTTGGATCCAACTTAAGATGCCAGGAACTTTGATAGCTATTGGGTTCTGTGAAAGGGGAGCAGATGAGTAGGTCATCTACATACTATAGAAGTTGTCCCCCTTCAAGAGATGTCATCATTAGGTTAAAGTTGTCCCCCTTCAAGACACATTGTTGTTAGATTTTTTTTTTTTTAACTAGGGCTTGTCTGAATAAGGGTGGGCTATCTCTAGAGTCCTGTAATAGAACAGTCAGCTTTCTCAGGAGAAATTTGGCTATTGGAGGAAAGATAAATTTGGGAGTTGAGTAAATATTAAGCAGGTACCAATTTTGGAAAGTATAGTCCTACTCAAAAGTGTCATGAGGCATTTTGACATTGCCAGGAGCAGGTGGGAGAACAGTAATTGGTCCTATAAGCAATGTAATAGGGTTTGAATATTTTGAGGGAGAGGGTGATATTTGCCCCCATTTTCTGACAGGATTTGGAAAAAAAGCTGCCCAAAGAAAAAAGTCAGCACAAAGTACATGGACCTTGTATTTAAAAGGAAATTTATAGTTCTACCTGCCACTTCCAGATCTGCCCCTGGCTCTACTCCTTTAATTATGATCTCTGATTTGGAAGCTGACTAGAGCAGAGGGCCCCTTTAGCTCAAGGCCATTATTGGATGGGGGTACAACCAGGAAGACATTTGGCTTCCTATGTGGGGCTATGTGGGGTTTTTCCTCATTTTGGCAATTCTTTCTCCAGTGGCCCAGTCTTCTACAATAATGGCAATTACCTGGAAGAGTGTCCTTAGGGCACCCTGGAGGAAGCTGGTAGGATTGTAAGGCAGCCAACAGTTGAGCCTGCCTTTTGTGCTTGCATTTCTTTCTCTCCTCAGCCCTGACCTCTTCATCCTGATCTGGGTTATAGAAGACTGAGGCGACTAATTTGAGGATTTCTGGCATAGGGGCACTGGGTCCCAAGGCTGACTTCTGCAACTTTTCCTAATATTTGGGGTGGCTTGGGTAAATAAACGATCTTTTATGACTGCTTGTTCCTTCGGGGATTCTGGGTTTAAGTCGATGTACTTAATAAGGGTTTCCTGTGGCTTTATGAGAAAGGCTATAACATTTTCATTTGTTCCTTCCTCTGGAAGCTTCCTCCCAGAGGGACACCTGCCAGATGCCAGCCAGAGCTATCCTGTATGAGGTGCCTGTCAGCCCCTACTGGGAGGTGTCTCCCAAACAGGAGACACGGGTGTCAGGCACCAACTTGAGGAGGCAGTCTGATACTTAGCAGAGCTCGAATGCTATGCTGGGAGATCTTCTGCTCTCTTCAGAGCTGTCAAGCAGGGACGTATAAGTCTGATGAAGCCACCCTTCCCCCCAGGTGCTCCGTCCCAGGGAGATGGGGGTTTTATCTATAAGCCCCTAACTGGGGCTGCTCCCTTTTTTTCAGAGATGCCCTGCCCAGAGAGGAGGAATCTAGAGAAGCAGTCTGGCCACAGCAGCCTTGCTGAGCTGCAGTGGGCTCTGCCTAGTTTGAACTTCCTGGAAGCTTTATTTACACTGTGAGGGTAAAACTACCTACTCAAGCCTCAGCAATGTCAGATGCCCCTTCTCCCACCAAGCCCGAGCATCCCAGGTCAACCTCAGACTGCTGTGCTGGCAGTGAGAATTTCAAGCCAGTGGATCTTAACTTGCTAGGCTCCATGGGGGGTGGGACCCGCCGAGCCAGACAACTTGGCTCCCTGGCTTCAGCACCCTTTCCAGAGGAGTGAATGGTTCTGTCTCGCTGGCATTCCAGGTGCCACTGGGGTATGAAAAAAAACTCCTGCAGCTAGCTCAGTGTGGCCACCCAGTTTTGTGCTTGAAACCCAAGGCCATGGTGGCGTAGGCACAGGAGGGAATCTTCTGGTCTGCAGGTTGTAAAGACCATGGTAAAAGCACAGTATCTGGGCCAGAATGCAGCGTTCCTCACAGGACAGTCCCTCATGGCTTCCCTTGGCTTGGAGAGGGAATTCCCAGGCCCTTTGCACTTCCTGGGTGAGGTAACACCCCAACCTGCTTTGGCTCACCTTCTGTGGGCTGCATCCACTGTTCAACCAGTCCCAGTGAGATGAACTGGGTACCTCTGTTGGAAATGAAGAAATCACTCACCTTCTCTGTCGATCTCTCTGGGAGCTGCAGACCAGAGCTCTTCCTATTTGGCCAGCAATCTTTGCTGTTCTGCACCCTCCTCTGGTGATACCTAGGCAAACAGGGTCTGTAGTGGACCTCCAGCAAATTCCAGCAGACCTGAGGCAGAGGAGCCTGACTGTTAAAAGGAAAACCAACAAACAGAAAGAAATAGCATCAACAACAAAAAGGACGTCCACTTAGAGACCCCATCTGAAGGTCACCAACATCTAAGACCAAAGGTAGATAAATCTACGAAAATGAGGAGAAACCAGTGAAAAAAGGCTTAAAATTCCCAAAACTAGAATGCCTCTTCTCCTCCAAAGGATTACAATTCCTCGCCAGCTAGGGCACAATACTGGACAGAGAATGCGTTTGACTAATTGACAGAGATAGGCTTCAGAAGGTGGGTAATAACAAACTCCTCCAAGCTAAAGGAGCATGTTCTAACCCAATGCAACATAGCTAAGAACCTTGAAAAAAGGTTAGACAAATTGCTAACCAGAATAAACAGTATTGAGAAGAACTTAAATGAACTGATGGAGCTGAAAAACACAGCAAGAGAACTTCAGGAAGCATACACAAATATCAATAGCCAAATCAATCAAGCAGAAAAAAGGATATCAGAGATTGTAGATCAACTTAATGAAATAAAGTGGGAAGAAAAGATTAGGAAAAAAAAGAATGAAAAGGAAAGAACAAAGCCTCCAAGAAATATGGGACTATGTGAAAATACCAAATCTACGTTTGTTTGGTGTCCTTGACAGTGACAGAGAGAATGGAACCAAGTTGGAAAACACTCTTCAGGATATTATCCAGGAAAACTTCCCCAACCTAGCAAGACAGGCCAACATTCAAATTCAGGAAATACAGAGAACACCACTAAGATACTCCTTGAGAAGAGCAACCCCAAGACACATAATCGTCAGATTCACCAAAGTTGAAGAGAAGGAAAAAATGTTAACAGCAGCCAGAGAGAAAGGTCGGGGTACCCACAAAGGGAAGCCCACCAGACTAAGAGTGTATCTGTCTGCAGAAACCCTACAAGACAAAAGAGAGTGGGGGCCAATATTCAACATTCTTAAATAAAAGAATTTTCAACCCAGAATTTCATATCCAGCCAAACTAAGCTTCAAAGCAATGGAGAAATAAAATCCTTTACAGACAAACAAATGCTGAGAGATTTTGTCACCACCAGGACTGCCTTACAAGAGCTCCTGAAGGAAGCACTAAACATGGAAAGGAACAATTGATACCAACCACTGCAAAAACATACCAAATTGTAAAGACCATTGACACTATGAAGAAACTGCATAAGCTAACGGGCAAAATAACCTGCTAGCATCATAGTGACAGGCTCAAATTGATGCATAACAATATTAAACTTAAATGTAAATGGCTAATTGCCCCAATTAAAAGACACAGACTGGCAAATTAGATAAAGAGTCAAGACCCATCGCTGTGCTGTATTCAGGAGATCCATCTCACATGCAAAGAAACACATAGGTTCAAAATAAAGGGATGGAGGAAGATTTTCCAAACAAATGGAAAGCAAAAAAAAAAAGCAGGGATTGCAGTTCTAGTCTCTGATAAAGCAGATTTTAAACCAACAAAGATCAAAAGAGACAAAGAAGGGCATTACATAATGGTAAAGGGATTAATCCAACAAGAAGAGTTAACTATATTAAATATATATGCTCCCAATACAGGAACACCCACATTCATAAAGCAAGTTCTTAGAGACTGACAAAGAGACTTAGACTCCCACACAATAGTAGTGGGAGACTTTGACATCCCACTGTCAATATTAGACAGATCAATGAGACAGAAAGTTAACAAGGATATTCAGGACTTGAACTCAGCTCTGGACCCAGCAGACCTAATAGACATCTACAGAAACCTCCACCCCAAATCAACAGAATATACATTCTTTTCAGCACCACATCACACTTATTCTAAAATTGACCACATAATTGGAAGCAAAACACTCCTCAGCAAATGCAAAAAAAAAAAAAAAACCACAACAACAACAAAAAAAAAAAAACAGAAATCATAACAAACAGTCTCTCAGACCACAGTGCAACCAAATTAGAACTCAGGATTAAGAAACTCACTCAAAACCACGCAACTACATGGAAACTGAACAACCTGCTCCTGAATGACTACTGGGTAAAAAACAAAATGAAGGCAGAAATAAAAATGTTCTTTGAAACCAATGAGAACAAAGACACAATGTACCAGAATCTCTGAGACATATTTAAAGCAGTGTTTAGAGGGAAATTTATGGCACTAAATGCCCACAAGAGAAAGCAGGAAAGATATAAAATCGACACCCTAATAGCACACTTAAAAGAACTAGAGAAGCAAGAGCAAACAAATTCAAAAGCTAGCAGAAGACAAGAAATAACTAAGATCAGAGAAGAACTGAAGGAGATAGAGACATGAAAAACCCTTCAAAAAATCAATGAATTACAGGAGCTGGTTTTTTGAAAAGATTGACAAAAAAGACTCCTGGCCAGAATAATAAAGAAGAAAAGAGAGAAGAATCAAATAGACACAGTAAAAATGATAAAGGGGATATCACCACTGATCCCACAGAAATACAAACTACCATCAGAGAATACTATAAACACCTCTTTGCAAATAAACTAGAAAATCTAGAAGAAAGGGATAAATTCCTGGACACATACACCCTCCCAAGTCTAAACCAGGAAGAAGTCGAATACCTGAATAGACCAATAACAAGTTCAGAAATTGAGGCAGTAATTAATAGCCTACCAAACAAAAAAAATCCAGGACCAGACGGATTCACAGCTGAATTCTACCAGAGCTACAAAGTGGAGCTAGTACCATTCCTTCTGAAACTATTCCAAACAATAGAAAAAGAGGGAATCCTCCCTAACTTATTTTATGAGGCCAGTATCATCCTGATACCAAAACCTGGCAGAGACACAACAAAAAAAAGAAAATTACAGGCCAATATTTCTGATGAATATCGAAGCAAAAATCCTCAATAACATACTGGCAAACTGAATCCAGCAGCACATCAAAATGCTTATCCACCACGATCAAGTTGGCTTCATACCTGGGATGCAAGCCTGGTTCAACATACGCACATCAATAAATGTAATCAATCACATAAACAGAACCAAAGACAAAAAACACATGATTATCTCAATAGATGCAGAAAAGGTCTTCGACAAAATTCACACCCCTTCATGCTAAAAACTCTCAATAAGCTAGGTATTGATGGAACATACCTCAAAATAATAAGAGCTATTTATGACAAACCCACAGCCAATATTACACGATATTGGCAAAAGCTGGAAACATTCCCTTTGAAAACCGGCATAAGACAAGGATGCCCTCTCTCACCACTCCTATTCAACATAGTATTGGAAGTTACTCCTATTCAGCATAGTATTGGAAGTTCTGGCCAGGGCAATCAGTCAAGAGAAAGAAATAAAGGGTATTCAATTAGGAAAAGAGAAAGTCAAATTGTCTCTGTTTGCAGATGACATGATTGTATATTTAGAAAACTTCATTGTCTCAGCCCAAAATCTCCTTAAGCTGATAAGCAACTTCAGCAAAGTCTCAGGATACAAAATCAATGTGCAAAAATCGCAAGCATTCCTATATACCAAGAACAGACAAACAGAGAGCAAAATCATGAGTGAACTCCCATTCACAATTGCTGAAAAGAGAATAAAATACCTAGGAATACAATTTACAAGGATGTGAAAGACCTCTTCAAGGATAACTACAAACCACTGCACAAGGAAATAAGAGAGGACACAAATAAATGGGAAAACATTCCATGCTCATGGATAGGAATAATCAATATCATGAAAATGGCCATACTGCCCAAAGTAATTTGTAGATTCAATGCTATCCCCATCAAGCTACAACTGACTGTCTTCACTGAATTAGAAAAAACTACTTTAAATTTCATATGGAACCAAAAAAGAGCATGCATTGCCAAGACAATCCTAAGCAAAGAGAACAAAGCTGGAGACATCATGCTACCTGACTTCAAACTACACTACAAGGCTACGGTAACCAAAACAGCATGGTACTGGTACCAAAACAGAGATATAGACCAATGGAACAGAACAGAGGCCTCAGAAATAACACCACACTTCTACAACCATCTGATCTTTGACAAACCTGACAAAAACAAGCAATGGGGAAAGTATTCCCTATTTAATAAACAGTGTTGGGAAAATAGGCTAGCCATATGCAGAAAACTGAAACTGGACCCCTTTCTTACACCTTATAGGTAAATTATCTCAAGATGGATTATAGACTTAAACTTCAGACCTAAAATCATAAAAACTGTAGAAGAAAGCCTAGGCAATGCCATTCAGGACCTAGGCATGGGCAAAAACTTCATGACTAAAACATCAAAAGCAATTGCAACAAAGGCCAAAATTGACAAATGAGATCTAATTAAACTAAAGAGCTTCTGCACAGCAAAAGAAACTATCATCAAAGTGAACAGTAACCTACAGAATGGGAGAAAAATTTTGCAATCTATCCATCTGACAAAGGGCTAATATCTAGAATCTACAAAGAACTTAAACAAAGTTACAAGAAAAAAACAAACAACCCCATCAAAAAGTGGGTGAATGATATAAACAGACACTTATCAAAAGAAGACATTTATGCAGCCAACAAACATACGAAAAAAAGCTCATCATCACTGGTCATTAGAGAAATGCAAATCAAACCACAATGAGATACCATCTCAAGCCAGTTAGGATGGTGATCATTAAAAAGTCAGGAAACAACAGATGCTAGAGAGGATGTGAAGAAATAGGAACGCATTTACACTGTTGGTGGCAGTGTAAATTAGTTTAACCATTGTGGAAGACAGTGTGGCGATTCCTCAAGGATCTAGATCCAGAAATACCATTTGACCCAGCCATCCCATTACTGGGTATATACCCAAAGGATTATAAATCATTGTACTATAAAGACATATGCACACGTATGTTTACTGCAGCACTGTTCACAATAGCAAAGACTTGGAACCAACCCAAGTGCCCAACAACGATAGACTGGATAAAGAAAATGTGGCACATATACACCATGGAATACTATGCAGCCATAAAAAAGGGTGAGTTCATGTCCTTTGCAGGGACATGGATGAAGCTGGAAACCATCATTGTCAGCAAACTAACATAGGAACAGAAAACCAAACACCACATGTTCTCACTCATAGGTGGGAGTTGAACAATGAGAACACATGGACACAGGGAGGGGAATATCACATACTGGGGCCTGTTGGATTGTAGGGGGCTAGGGGAGGGATAGCATTAGGAGAAATACCTAATATAGATGGTGGGTTGATGGGTGCAGCAAACCACCATGGCACGTGTATACCTATGTAACAAACCTGCACATTCTGCACATGTACCCCAGAATTTAAAGTGTAATAATAAAAAAATTATATAGGTGGCAGAAATAGTAATAAATATCATCTGAGCAATGCAAAAAAAATTCATTTGTCCCCTTATGTACAGTGTGTATTTTATTATGGCTTGTAGGGTTGACCTTACTCTATTTTGCTGCCTCTATTAGGAGCATATAGCTGCTGGCCCATATTCCCACTTGGGTATTGTAGTCCCAACAGGGATTTTGTTGGGAAACAACTGTAGTCCCTTCAGTGTGGGTAGCATTTGCCAGGTGTAAGTCATCCCCACAATAAATTGCTGCTTTCACAGTTTCTGTTTTCTCTCATTTGAGGGCTTCTCCCCTCCAAAATTTATCTTCATCCAAGATAATCTAAATGTTAAAAGAAAATTGGAAGCCCTCCTTTAGCTTCTTGGGGTCTTCCAAGAACTTTCCTTGGTTTTCCTAATTTGCCAAAGGTCCTGCATGAAAAATGGGAACTGGACCTGGACCTGGATGGGTCTGAATGGGTCTCTTACCTCCTGTAATGGGCAGGGTCTGGAGGGAGAAATAAGGAGCCCAGTGTAGGGTAGGGTCAATTCCAAAGGTCTGGGAGTGGCATAAATAGGGGAAGGAGCCTAATTTGGCCTCTGGAAGAGGAGGCAGTTTTTCCCTTTGGCTTCTGGAAGAGATATATCAGAAGGTATTCAGCAGGTAAGTGTCCAAGGCCTCCTAATGGAGAGTCCTGGAGCAGGTGGCTAAGCATAGCTAGGATGATGAAGTCTGCCTTACAAGCTTTACAAGGATTAAGGTCTTCCCTCCAGGTTATGAAGGTTTATAAATAGGCCCTGACTATTTGCCCTGATGGTGGCAGAAAAGGTCCGGCTGGAATCAGAAGTTAAACAAGATGGCTGAATAAAAAAGCTTCAATGATCATACCCCCCCACCAGAAATACACCAAGGCAAAATCCACACAGAACAAAAAAAAACAAAAACAAAACAAAACAAAAAACAACCTTCATAAGTACCAAAAATCAGGTAAGCACTTATAGTACCTGGTATTAAATTCATATCGTTAATAAAGAAATTGAAGAGATAAAAAAAAAAGTCCTGAACTGCCAATACCCTTCCCACACCCATAAGGGCAGTGGCCTGGTGTAGAGAGCATCTCTGGGTGCTGGGGGAGAGAAAAGACAGCAATTGTGAGGCAGTGAACTCAGTGCTACCCTGAAAGAGCAGATAGAAACACATGACCAAACTCAGTTGAGGCTTGCCCATGAAGGGAGCATTCAAACCAGCCCTAGCCAAAAGGGAATCACAAATCCCAGTAGTCTAAACTTGAGTGCTTGCAAACCTCACCAGCAAGGACTACAGCACGCTGTGTCTCCAAGCAAACTTGAAAATTAGTCTAGGCCATAAAGACTGCAGCTCTTAGGTGAGTCCTAGTGTTGAACTAGGCCAAGAGACAGTGGATTAAGAGGGAATGCAACATATTGAAAAAACAGCTGGGGCAGCCAAGGGAGTGATGGCAGTACCACTCTCCTAATCCCAGGTTGCACAGCTCATGGATCCAGAAGAGACCCTTTCTTTCTGCTTAAGGAGAGGAAAGGAAAGAGGAGACTTTGTCTTGCATCTTGGATGCTGCCTCATCCACAGCAAGATAAGGCACTAGTCAGAGTCATGAGACCCCTGTTCCAGGCGCTAGCTCCAGGACAACATTTCTAGATACACCCTGAGCCAAAGGGAACCCACTGCCTTGAAGGAAAGAACCCAGTCCTACCAGCATTTATCAGCTTCCAATTGAAGATCCCTTGAGCCCTGAAAAACCAGAAGCAATACCTAGGTACTACATTAAGGGCCTTAGTGAGCTTATGAGACTCCTGGCTTCAGGTGAGACTTAGCAAGTTACCAGCTGTGGTGGAAATGGGGCAAAACTCATTCTTCATTAGAAAAGCAGAGGGTACAGTAAAGGAGACTTTTTCTTGCACCTTAGGTACCAAAACTGCCACAGGATGATAGAGCACCAAGCATGCTCTTGGGGTCTTCAATTTCAGGACTTTATTCTTGGATGACATTTCTGGACCTGCCCTGGGACAGAGGTGAGCTCAGTGCCCTGAAGCATGAGTCGCAGGCCAAGCAGAATTCATGACAAGTGGATATAAGAGACGTTGGGCCTTAAGGGAAAATCAGTGGTAGTCTGGCAGTACTAATGGCCTGGGATGATGGTGGCTATGGGATGAAGCTCCTCCGCCTTTGGAAAGAGGAGAAAAAAGTGGGAAAGAGTGCCACTTGTGTTATGGTTTGGGTGCCAGATAGGATGGCAATACAATAGAAAAACAAGTCGACTTCTACAATTTTTAGATTCTAGTCTCTAACTCCAGAACAGCACTTCTTGACCCACCTGGGGCCTGGGAAACCTTGCTGCCCTAAAGGGAAAGACACAGGCCTGGCTGGCTTTGTCACCTTCTGATTGTAGAGCTTCACAGCCTTGAGTGAACATAGGCAGTAGCCAGGAAATGGTTACAGCAGGCCTTGGGTGAGACAGTTCTGTGCTGGCTTCAGGTCATCCTAAGCAAGAATAAAACTTTAGGAATCACATTACCCAACTTCAAATTATACTACAGAGCCATAGTAACAAAAACAGCGTGGAACTGGCATAAAAAACAGAAAAATAGACCAATGCAGCAGAACAGAGAACCCGGAAACAAATCCACACACCTACAGTGAACTCATTTTTGACAAAGATACTAAGAACATATACTGGGGACAAGATAGTCTCTTCAATAAATGATGCTGGGTACACTGGCTATCCATATGCATAATAATCAAACTAGACACAAAAATAAAATCAAGTAAACTAAAGATATAAATTTAAGAACTGCAACTATTAAACTACTACAAGAAAACTTCAGAAAAAATCTCCAACACATTGATGTGGGCAAAGATTTTTTTTTAGCAATTCCCAACAAGCACATGCAACAAAAGCAAAAATGGACAAATGAGATCACATCAAGTTAAATAGCTTATGCACAGAAAAGGATACAATCAACAAAGTGGAGATATAACCCACAGAATGGGATAAAATATTTGAAAATTACCCATGTGGCAAAAGATTAGTAAACAGAATGTATAAGTAACTCAACCAATTCTAAATGAAAAAGTCTAATGATTTCATGAAAAATGGTCAAAAGATTTGAATAGACATTTCTCAAAAGAAGATATGCAAATAAAAACAGGCATATGAAAACAGTCTCAACATAACTGATCATCAGAGAAATGTAAATCAAAACTTCAATGAGATATCATCTCACCCCAGTTATAATGGCTTATATCAAAAAGACAGGCAATAAATGATGGTGGGGATGTGGAGAAAAGGGAACCTTTGTACACCGTTGGTGGGAATGTAAATTAATTCAACCACTATAGAGAACAGTTTAGAAGTTCCTGAAAATACTAAAAGTTGGTCTACAATATGATCCAGCTATCCCACTACTGGGCATATATCCCAAAATTGAGAAATCGGTATATTGAAGAGATATATCCAGTTCTATGTTTTTTGCAGCACTGTTTACAATAGCTGAGATTTGGAAGTAACATAAGTATCCATCACTAGATGAATGGATAAAAAAATGTGGTACATAAACACAATGTGTTAGTATTCAGCCATAAAAAAAGAATGAGATTTGGTCCTTTGCAACAACATGGTTGGAACTGGAGATCATTACGCTAAGTGAAATAAGCTAGGCACAGAAAGACAAACATCGGATGTTGTCACTTATTTGTGGGATCTAAACTCATGGATATAGAGAATAGAAGGATGTTCACCAGAGTCTTGGAAGGTTGGCTGCGTGAAGTGGGGGAAGTTTAATGGGTGTAAAAAAAAAAGTAGTTATAAAGAATAAATAAGACCTACTATGTGAAAGCACAACAGAGTGGCTATAGTCAATAATAACTTAATTACACATTTTAACATAACTTCCATAGTGTAATTGGATTGTTCATACCTCAAAGGGTAAATGCTGCAGGGGATGAATACCCCATTCCCCTTGATGTTCTTATTTCATATTGTATGCCTGCTTCAAAACATTCCGTGTATCCCATAAATATATACACCTACTATGTGCCCACGAAAATGTTAAAGAACATTAAAAATTAAAAAAAATATGAATAGGTTCTGCTGGAGGATGCTATTAAAATTTATACTTTCTTTCTCTGGCCTTCTGATTCTAAAATGGAAAAGTGTTTTTTATTTTAGGATTTGTGGGTCAAATTTATCCCCAGTCTTAAGGATTTATCCAAGTGTTGAGCCCCAGGGTATAGGGGTATGATTACCCATCTGTAAAACAAAACAGAGCAGAGGAAGGAAGAAGAAAGAGTCCTTTCTTGTTCCCCTTATACCATAGACAGGATTGAATAGGGCATCTTCCATACATCCTGGGCTTTCAAATTAAACTGCTGCTTACCAGGTACCCCTAACCTTGGTACTTCATTGTCCTTCTAGGGCAAGCCTTCATCTGTGTCCTAATGGTAATCTGCTCTGCACTTATGGCTTCTAGCTGGGCTGTACCTTTAACCCCATAACCTTACAGTCACTCTCATTTGTAGCTTCCAGTAATGAAATGGTTTTCAATTCTTTCATATTCCCATTTCTCATGTCCCTGTAGGTACGTAAGGACCTTATCCTCAGCCAGTAGCTGTAAGAGAACTGGGCATTTCTTTCCTAGATACAGCACTTGAGGTCCTGGTGCGTGTTGTGAATGGCATGTGTCCTGGTGCACGTTACAAACGGCAGAGGAGTGGAGAAAAGCCTGCATTTGAGTCCCCATCATTGCCAATGTGGGTTCTTGGGGAAGCATGCAAAACAAGTATTTAAAAAGCAGGACAATTTCTCTGAGATTGGTGGGAATGGGAGAGAATGAAAAAGACATTTGTGAGATGTTTTTGTGCATTCACAAAAATCAGTAGCCCTCAGAACAAAAAGGACAATGCTTATTGGCATTCTTGACATAGAGGAGAAACCACCAGATGGCCAGGAGTTTGGGACAGGAGTCCACAAAAGCTAGAGAAAGAATTGTCCCTCTTCCCAAAGTAGGGATAGCTGTAGAAGGGAGATGGGAGATAATATTAATGGGCCACAGACAGATGCCCTATGGAGGTGAACAAATCACCTCAAGAGCCACTGGAAAACCTGGTCTTATAGTCTAGCAAGAATTAAAAATACATAATAGGTAATAAGGAGTTGGGGGAGTCATGTTCCTCCAAGTGTTAAGCAGAGAAAAAAGTCATGGGATACATAAAGCAAAAGTAGAGAAGCAGCTAACTTGTCCCCAAAAAGAAGCAGAACGGGGTTCAGACTTATTGTGGAGAAGCCAGTTTTAGTTAAGAAAATGAAGGTCTCCAGTCCTTGTTGTGGAGGCTGGTTAGTGAGTGAGAAAATTAGAGAAAGAAGACCTCATGTAAGCAGAGCTAGGCGCCTTCAATTGAGGAAGGTGAGGCACAGAGGGGTCTCACCAAGAGGCAGCAATCTGAGTCATGGCAATAAAATATGTTACTGGTGGCGAGTCTGGGTGGGGTACACAATCCTCAATTCTTGTCTTCTTGGGAGAAATAATTTGGCCAAGAGAAAAAAAAGTTGATTTAAGGCAGAAACAAGAGATTACTGAAGCAAAGAAAAGTACACTTGGAAGAAACCAAGCAAGCAACTTAAAGGATTGAGTGACTTGCTTGATTGTTAGCTCAGGGCTCTTTTAGATTTATAACACTATTTCCTGTCATCTCTCCCCCTGAGAAAGCTGTTGGCTAATCAAAACATGCACAGTGTCTTGCCGGTATCTGGGAGGGTTCTCGTGCACCATATGGTGGTTGAAATTATGCATCTGCTTTCTTGGGGAGATTTGCTCCTACTGAGCTAGTGCTCCCAGAGGAAGGTAATACATGGGTCAAATTCTGCCATTTTGCCCCTTACTACGCATGCCTGGACATGCTCCCAGAGGAAGGAAAAACTTCGCCATTTTGTCCCTTACTTCTCTTACTGTGCATGCCTGGACATGTCCCCAGAGCAAGATCAAAGTTCACCATTTTAAGTTTTTATTGGTAAGTTGTTGCCCATGAGCTCAAGATGTCTCCTGTTTTGTTAGGAAATTTTCCCCTACATGCCATCAGCTGCATGACAATCACCTGATAGTCAACTGACAGTCGCCTGACATTCTTTGGGGCCCTATTCTGTCCTGCTCATATCTGCTTATGCCGTTCCTAACAGTTCTATCAAATATCATCACATGCTACAGAGAAATATTTCATGAAAGGAAGAGTCAATTGATGCAGCAAACTGCATTGCTGTCTTATTTTAAAAAATCGCCACAACCACGCCAACCTTCAATAACCGCAACTGTGATCAATCAGAAAGGTAATACATGGGTCAAATTCTCTCATTTTGCCCCTTACTGCGCATTGATATGAAGTCAAAGTCCTCCAACAGCAAGTCCCTCCACCAGCAAAAATGTTACAATTACATGAAAGCTCATATGATCATTAGCGTTTTTCAGCAATAAAGTATTTTTAATTTTTTGATACATTACATTTGTACATATTTAGGAAGTGCCTGTGAAATTGTGTTACATGCATAGAATAGATAATGATTAAATCAGAGTATGTAGAGTACTCATCACCTCAATATTTATCATTTCTATGTATTGAATACATTTAACGTCCTCTTTTCTAGCTATTTTGAAATATATCATACTTTGATTGTTTTTAACTATAATCACCATACTCTGCTATTTAGATGTGTTCATTCTATCTGCATGATTGTACCTGTTAACTGATCTCTCTTCATTTTCCCTTCAGCCACCCATGCACTCTTCTCAGTCTCTGGTATCTATCATTCTATGCTTCTGTCTCCATGAGTTCAGCTCTTTTAGCTCCTACATGAGGAAGAACGTGATATTTGTCTTTCTGTGCGTGGTTTATTTTACTTAACATAATGACTTCAGTTTTATCCGTGTTGCTGCAAATGACATGTTTTAATTTTTATGGCTAAATAGTATTATATTGTGTATACAAACCATATCTTTTTTATCCATTAATCCATTGATGAACACTTAGATTGATTCTATACCTTTGCTATTATAAATTGTACTGAAATGCACAGAAGTGTGAGTATCCCTTAAATATCTTGATATGCTTTCCTTTGGATAAATACCCAGTAGTGGGATTGTTGGATTGCATGGTACTTCTAATTTTAGTGTTTAAGGAAATATCCATACTCTTTTCCATAGAGGCTGTACTAATTTACATTCCCATCAACAGTGTATAAGAGTTCCCTTTTCTCTGTATCCTCACCAACATTTGTTTTTTTTCTTTTTAATAATAGTCATTTTAATCAAGGTAAGGTGACATCTCATTATGGTTTTAATCTGCATTTCCCTGATGATTAATGATGAGCATTTTTTCATATATCTGTTGGCCTTTTTTTGTCTATTTTTTAAATTACAGTATATACATTGTTTCTTAGACATAATGCTATTGTACATTTCATAGACTACAGCAATGTGTAAATGCAACTTTTATATGCATTGGAAAACTTTAAAAATAATGTGACTTGCTTTAGTATGATATTCACTTTATTATGGTGATCTGGAACTTAACCCACGATATCTCTGAGATATGCCTGTACACAATTGCATTTTAACCATTATAATAGTTTATTTCCTAATCATTTATTATGCAGTGATAAAAAGGTTGATAAATGCAATCAAAATAGTTTTTTAAGTCTTTTAATTGATTTTCCACATCTGTAGACACATTGTTTTATGCCAGTAATTTAATTCCATGCTCAAATTTGCATATAAGTACATATTGCCCAGTTCAGTTCATTAACATTTTTGCTCTGATATGATGAGTAAGTTCAAGAACCACATACCCAAATTTCAAGAACATTTGGATTCAGGAAAAATTATAATAAATTTATTCTTCAATATACTTTTTAAAATTCTTCCTTGCAAATACCAGGATCTACTACTAATTTTAAAACATCATAATAACCCTGCATTGTTTTACTCTCATTGTTTTGCTCAACTAAAATGTTATTGTCTCAGCAGAGATGCACCATGATCCTAAACATTTTTTAAAGCCCAGGACGTGTTTTAGTCTCTCTGTGATTTCCAACCCGGTAATCCAATCTGTATGAAATAATTTAACATTAAAATATAATTGACACTGAATGGTTCATTAATTTTTCTAGAGTATTAGTCTTTCTGATTTATCTGGATAATAAATTTTTTGAAGTGTGGCCCCAACATCCCACAATTCTATTACTGAAAAGGGCTTAGGTGATTGATATTTGTAGGCCAAAGATGTTTTTCTAAAAGATATCTTCACTAAAGTGGTGTTCATTTATTATTTTTAGCCTGAGAAAGTTTGGCCAGGCTTAAGGCTCACATAAGCACCCATGGTTCATTTATGAGAAATTATTATGGTAACTTAAAAACAACTTCAATATATTTCAAACAGTATAAGCAGGTCAAGGCATATTTTCTGTTTGCATGAAATAATTCTGAAAACTCGTCAAAAGTTGATCAAAAGACTCCAGTTAGTCTGAGCAAGGTAGCTCAGTTCAGTGCTTTGAGAGGCCAAGGTGGGAAGATCACTGGAGGCCAGGAGTTCAAGACAAGTCTGGGCACCATACCAAGACCCTGTTTCTGAATATAAAGTAGCTGGCTACAGTGTGTCTGCCTTTAATCTCAGCTACTTGAGAGGCTCAGGCAGAAGGATCACTTGAGCCCAGGAGTTTGAGGGTGCAGTGAGCTATGATTGCACCACAGCAATCCAGCCTGGGCTGTAGAGCAAGACCCCATCTCTAAAAATGAAACAGAAAAAAGGCTTCAATTACTTAAATGTAATCATACCTTGGTTTTTTGTTTGTTTTGTTTTGTTTTGAGATGGAGTTTCACTCTTGTTGCCCAGGCTGGAGTGCAATGGTGTGATCTTGGCTCACTGCAACCTCTGCCTCCCAGATTCAAGTGATTCTCCTGCCTCAGCTTCCCAAGTAGCTGGGATTACAGGTGTGTGCCATCATGCCTGACTAATTTTGTATCTTTAGTAGAAACGGGGTTTCACCATGTTGGTGAGGCTGGTCTCGAACTCCTGATCTCAAGTGATCCACCCACCTCAGCCTCCCAAAGTGCTGGGATTACAGGCATGGGCCATCTTGGTCTATTTCTATTGTCTTGTTTTTACCCTGTTGTGAGTTAATGATTTCTTTGTTTTAGCATGGCCAGTAGATTTTGCTTAGATGCTGGATGTTGTGAATGTTACATTGTTCAGTATCTCAATATTTTTTTTGTCTACCATTAAAGAGTGTTAAGCTTTGTTTTGTTAGATATTTAATTACAATGAAGTTTAATCCACTAAAAGCTTGCTTTTAAGACTTTTCGAATAGGCCCAAAATAGCCTTTTCTCTAATGATAGTTTAGCTTCCATACTATGGAATGACATTCTAGAGTTTCTAATGAATATCCTGAGTAATCACTGAGTACTCTCCACTCTGACTGGGGGATCTTGAAAAAACTCACGAACTCCTGTGAACTCTAGGAACCATTAAACTGTAGCTTCCAATTTGCTTTCTGCCCAATATTGTGGGAATTTACCTTACTCATTTTCATCTTCCTATTAAGTAAAGGCTCAAGAGTAATCCTATATAGATATGTTCATATTATTTTCTCCATAGCTTCTTCTCTGGATTGCTGCTTTATAACTTTCTGTAAACTTACACACCCTGAACTCCGATCTATCTCTCCTGGACTCAGCAGGACAGCTATGCTCTACTTGTGATATGTCCCTGGGATCTCTGGTTCAGAATGTAACTCCAGGAAGAAATTCAGGGCAAAAACTGGGTTTACCTTATTTGTTTGCATCTTTCCTAAGACCACAATCTTGGGCTACCTATCGTATAATGCCTAAAAACAGTTGATTCATATATGTTGTCCAGTATTCCAGTTGCTTAAGGTAGGAAGGTAAACTCAGCCTCTCTTTCTTCATTGTGGTTAAAGAAGAAAGTCTCACACTTAGTTTAAAAGTAAAACAAACAAATGAACAAGTCAAATCCAATCATTTAAATATTAAGCAAATATATCAACCTGACCCAACTCAAAGCTGTCCAATAACTTAAAGTTACACATAAAATACATTCCAGAATTCTTATTATATTTGGGTTTGCTTTTCATGTTCATCACATACTCCTTGGGTGACCCCAGAAAAAGAATTGAATCTGTTTAAGCATTGATTTCATCTGTAAAATAGAGGTGATAAGTGTATCTACCTCTTAGACATGTTGGGAAAATTAAAAGTGTTGATATATGTAAAGGACTTATCAGTACTTGGCTCTCAGTAAATGGTCCAAAGATCTTTCTTTGTGAATATCCATGGCACAATGGTTTAGGGGCAGGGAGGGAGTAAAGACTGTGCACAGAAAAATTTGTAAAATTTATCACATAGTGTTACCCATGCATTAGGCACTTACTGCTGCATGACTAACAACTTTAAAATCTCAGTGGAATATAATAATAATAATTTATTTCTCACATATCCACAATTGGCTGGAAGTCAGCTGATCTAGGATTGGCTTGGCAGGGTAGTTCTTCTTCAAGTTGTGTACCTAGTTGGCCTTGGGACCTTAACTATGTGTTGGATGCTTTTCCATTCCATTTATTTCACCCTGAGGGCCAGGCTGATGAAATAACTATTACCCAGATTTCTGACAGAAACTCTTATGGTAAGTACAAGGGTGAAAAACAAAAAAACAGAAGCATGTGAGGCTTCTTAAAGTCTAGAGGAAACTCAAGTTTATCACACTGTCATGAATCTTCTCACATTCCACTATCATCTATAGCAAGTCACAGTCCATAGACCAAAGTAAAGGGACTAGGCAGCACATGCTACCTTTTTTTTTTCTTTTGGAGATACTGCAAAGTTGCATGGCAAATTGTGTAGACACAAGGAGCAGTAAAATGTAAGGCCCAATAATACCATAACACCATCTACCATAGCATAGGTAATAAGGTATAAATAAGTAGAGTGGAGGGAGTAATATAAAAAGCTTTGGGAAAAAATATATTCAAAATTTATGTAATTTCTCTTAAAATGTGTTATTCGTAGCAAAGGAAATGTCAACAGAGTGAAGAAACAACCCACAGAATGGGAGAAAATATTTTCAATCTACATGTCTCCCAGGGGACTAATAATCAGAATATATAAGGAGCTCAAAAAACTCTATAAGAAAAGATCTAATAATCTGACTTAAAATTTGGCAAAATACTTGAATAGACATTTCTCAAAAGAATACTTACCAATGGCAAACAGCTATATGAAAAGATGCTCAACATCATTGATCATCAGATAAATGCTGATTAAAACTACAGTGAGATATCATTTTGCACCAGTTAAAATGTTTTTTATCCAAAAGGCAGGCAATGTTGAATGCTGCTGAGAATGTGTGGAAAAGGGAAATCTTGTACACCATTGGTCAAAAGGTAAATTATTACAACCACTATGGAGAACAGTTTGGAGGTTCCTTCAATATCTAAAAAGAGAGCTACCATATGATCAAGAAATCCTACTTCTTAGTATATACCCAAAAGAAAGGAAATTAATATATCAAAGGTATATCTGCACTTTTATGTTTGTTGCAGCGTGATTCCCATAGCCAATATTTGAAGTAACCTAAGCGTTCAGCAACAGATGAATGGATAAAGAAAATGTGGTAAATATACACAATGGAGTATTATTCAGCCATAAAAATAAATAACATCTTGTCATTTGCAACAACATGGATGAAACTAGAAGTCATTATGTTAAGTGAAATAAACCAGCACCAAAAGACAAAATTTGAATGTTCACACTCTCTTGTGGGAGCTAACAATTAAAACAATTGAACTCCTGGAGATAGAGAGTAGAAGGATAGTTACCAGAAGCTGGGAAGGGAAGTGCAGGGAGGAGAGGAAAGTGGAAATGGTTAATGGGTATAAAAAATAATTTGAAGGAATGAATAATACCTATTATTTGATAGCACAACAGGGTAACTACAGTAAAAATAATGTAATTGTACATTTTAAAATAAATAGTGTAATTGGACTGTTTGTAACACAAGGGCTAAAGGCTTGAGGGGATGGCTATCCTACTTACCATGATGGAATTATGCATTGCATGTATCAAAGTATCAAAGTACCTCCTGTACCCCATAAATATATACAACTAGTATGTTACCACAAATATTAAAATTTAAGAAACTATCTAGAAAATTCTGTAAATAAGTAAATATTTTTCTCCCTAAAATCAAACATTGATCAATTTGCTTTCAATCTGTGATACTATTTTAGATTTTTGAACTATAGAATTTTTCTTTTTACTAAATGGCTAGTTTTAATAATGGGAGAAAATTTGGATAGAAACAGAACCATCTCTCCTTCTTATTACATGAAATAAAACTGCAAAATAATGATACTCAAAATAATTTTTTCCAGGCTATTATAAAAGGATTACAGTATTGTTAAAAAGGGATTAAAATAAACATCTCTCTTTAAGTAAAACCACTAAGAGTGAGCTTGTATGAAGAATAATGGATACTGCACTTCTGTGAATAAACAAATACCAGAATAGTTAGCTTTAAAACTGAACCAAAATTGACTACGTACAGAAAAATTAAGACGGTTTGTGGGCCTCTGGAATTGAAATCTTTAGAACTCTCTCAAATGAAGCTTTCATTGCTAGTTGTTAAGTAGATGAATCAAACAAATCTACCAGCAAGCATATAGGTTGCAGCTTATCACAATGATAGAAAAATCTATCATCCTCTACCTAAAGCTATAAGTGCATGATCAAATCAACAAGTCTTTCCTTCAGAGTAAGTCAACTGCAAATTATCTTTCACCAGTCAGTCAAACACAAAACAACCTCCCTGTTAATGGCAACACAGTTTACTGTCTTTCATATTCAGAGGGAGCATGGCAGTGGCAGTGATGCTTTACATGCCACATTCTTCAAGCAATGCTATTCCACTATTGCTAAAAAGCTTAGTCAGATGTTAAAAATTAGCATACAATATATTTATCTGATATGATGTTTAACATTAAGAGCATTCAATGATTGAATTAGGAAATACACAGAAAGCAAGACCATGTCAGCAAAGAAAGTAAGAACAACAGCAAATTAATGGGAAGACATTTTATGTGATGAAGAAATCTCAATAATTTCAATTCTAATGTATTTCATATACCACACACACACGTGTGTACACACACACAAAGAGAGAGAATTTGCATAATTTCTGAATAATTTGAAATAATCCCATCACCATTTTCTAGGAATTCTAATTTTGCAATGTTTTCAACACACATCAAAAATTCAGGTAGCATTGAGCAGCTAACAGAAAATAGGCCAGCCCTTTTTGTTTTATTTTAAATCCCAAACGGTAATTTTCTACAGTGGGAGGACTGAGATAAAACCAGTGTATTTTTTTCTGTCACTAAGTGCAAATACTTATGGAAGCCAAAGGACTACATTCTTTCCATAAGACTCTGAATGTTGATACAGAGGTTGACTCAGGAAGTATAGCGTTTAGGAAAGACAGTTCCAAGAACTAACGTTAGCTAATTAGAAGGCCCTTGATATAAGAGTTGGTTTACATAAGAAACTGAAATATTTGTCCAAGCCGTATCTTCAATAGATGACTGTTCATTATGGTATGGTCTTTAGGATGCACATGCAGTTATGGGACCTGATGGTACACGTAAATAGCAGCTGAATATGGAAGAAAATACCTTCAGTACTTGTTTCAGACGTGAATTATTTTCTAAAACAATTGATGCCTATTTAGACATTTGTTGCCCAACTGGGATCTTTCAACACCACCTTACGTTTATTATTGAAAAAGGGATTCAACAAAATTGTCAGAAATATAACCTAGGCTATACAAACTATGCAAGTAGAATATGAGTTTTAACAGAAATAAATTAGGTTTTACATTCATGTGAACTTAACTTTTTCTGAAATATTTTTAGCAGCTATAATAGATAATAAAACATTTGGTAGCAACAAAAATGTAAAATATTTTTGTGAAAGTTAATAAGAAACAACAGTTTTTGGTTTGTTCCTCTAAGCCAAGGGTGTATTTGGTACAATAAAGATGCAAGCTTTTGGCAAGATAGTCAAGAGCCATAAAAGCCTGAAACCCTGAGGCTGTACATTAGCAAGCGTTCAGAAGATCAGTGAACAAATTCAATCAGCTGGATATACATTCAAACAGCTGGGATTTGGGAAACATTCATCAGATGGATTTTTATCTTATTTTTTTTATCAGGATGTTTGGACTCAGTCTTAATTTTCTTAATAACTTATACTTTTTGTTAGGTTATTTTTTCTTCCATAAAAAATTTCTCTTATTTTCATTATAAAAGTCTCAAAACATAAGATGTTATGTTAAAAATAAATATCCAGCATCATCAAGGCACTGCACAATACACTAAAACCAGGACTGCAATTTCGTAGGCAAATTAATCAAATCCCAGTTCAATTGTTTACACTTAATGCTGGAGACTTTTCTCAGGATTTTAAAATACATTTGGGCCTATACTTGGGACAAATTCTTTCCTATCTGAGTAGAAAGCATAGTACTTTTAGGTCCTAATATGTGACCACTGCAGATGGTTGAGCTATGGTCATGAAAATTAAGCTGACTCTGGTTGGCTTAGTTTGGTTGTGGCCCTATAGAAAAAAAAATTCTTCGTTTTTAATTCTGAGCACTAGAGTTCAATAGTTAATTCCCAAAATAGTCCCAATTTTTGTTCTCAAGGGACTTATTAGAATAAATATTACATTCTGAAATAAAATTCTCGCACCTGTAAATTGACTAATAATAAAGCATATTGGTTTTTGGCTGACAAACAGTGCAGTTGTTTTTCAGTCCTAGCTCTGAATGTGAACCATGACATATGGGCAAGGACAGCACAGCAAGAAGAGAAACTCAAGACTGCAGAGCTTTGGTAAATAATGCACATAAATGGAATGAGATAGCTAATTTAAAGCATAGTAATTCTTAAATAAAGCATGTGGTGGCTTTTCTTATGTAAATTATCTTTAAGCTACACAAATCTTTTATTTTTCCCTGTAAGATTTTTTTTGCAACTGAGCACTCTTTAAAAGTGACCAATAAAAATGATGACTCATCTCACTATGAAGCATTACTTCCATTTGAATACCATCTGTTACTTTGCATTTCTTTGATATAACTTGCATTTTGATATATTTTGATGTGACAATCAAAGAACAATATCATCTACAAAACTTATGAATAAAAACTGTTTATCTTAGAATTACTTTTGCTTAATATAACATTAAAACTTTAAAAATACTTTAAAAATTACCTAGTGTTCCCTTACTGGAATATTTAAAATGGCAGAGCATATGTTCCATGAATCAAGATGGGTGGCTGACAAGGGCATAAATGTGTTGCTATAAGGATATATTACAGGTATGATACTTTACAGCTGCCGCATCTCTATTCAGATTATTTAAAGGTTTCTGGGTCAGCCACTTCTTATTTATTCAAATTTATATTGAGTAGCTCCAGAAAGCAAAGCTGACAAAATGATTAATTAGACTGTAGCTCATTGGCAGACTATAGTTTAATATAATTAATAGAGCTCGAGTTCATCGTTAAATATGATTATGGTCTTTGTTTAAAAATGTCAAATTATATTTTCCAGTTGTTACAAAATCCAAGATGACTTATTCCAAGCTTACAGCAATAACAATGAAAAACTCAGCAGGATACCTTATTTAATATACAACATCCACAAAAATCAAAATATTTTTCAGAAAATTTATTCGGTGGATCAAGTTGTATACATTTGGATCTTAATTATAAAATATTTCTAAATATTTTATAGTAAAACCAAAAATTATCTGTACGTTACACTTATCTTTGCAAGATTGGAAAAAATGTAATGCAAAGTCCAACATTTAAAATTACATATATCTGACCTTGATTGCTGTCCTTGATTAGTCTTGAAAATAAGTTGTAAATAAAGCAATATTTTATATATCAAATTATATTCATATATAACTTCTGAATTAATTCCAGATGTGAATTCCTCCAAACAAGTTGAATCAAACATATAATAAAATGATGCCTTATATCAGAATAAAAAGGACTGATTGTACATCTAATAGACATCTCAAATTGAACACGGCACCATGCCCAGATAATTTTTATATTTTTTGTATAGATAGGGTTTTGCCATGTTGACCAGGCTGGTCTCAAATGCCTGGGCTCAAGTGATCCATCCACCTCATCCTCCCAAATTGCTGGGATTACAGGTGTGAGCCACCATACCTGGCCAATCTCAAATATATTTCTTCATAGCAATGCAAGAATGGCCTAATACATGCATACACATTAAAAAATGCTTTGTTTTGTTGGAGAAATGACCCCTTTATTATTATTTAATGCCCCTTTTTATCCCTGATTATTTTCCACGTTCTCAAGTCTGCTCTAAGAATAATATAGGCTACTTCCACTTTTTAAAATTAGTGTAGAAATGGTATATTGTTCCCCATCCACTTACTTTTAATCTATATATGTCTCTACATTTTAAATGGATTTCTTATAGAAAACATAGAGTTGAGTCTTGTCTGTTGATTCACTCTGACAATATCTTTCTTTTAATTGGTGCATTTATATGTTGATGCTCAAAATGATTATAATAGAGTTGAGTTGATATTTATTATATTTACTGTTTCTATTTGTTGCTCCTTTTCGATTTAATATTTGTCTTACTTCTTTTCCACCTTTCTTGGTATTAATTGAGAATTTTCTACTATTTCATTTTTTCTTATTTTTTAGTACATCAGTTATACTTCTTTTGTACTTTTCTTAGTGGTTTACCTAGAGTTTACAATATACATTTACAACTAATCCAAGGCTGCTTTCAAATAGCACTATACCACTTCCCAAGTAGTACAAGTGCCTAATAATAACAAAATAATTCTTATTTTTTCTCTCCCACCCCTTTCATTATTTGTCATTCATTTCACCTATACAGAAGTATATATAAACAAACAAGTGCAGAAGCATACATAATTAAACACATTTTTGCTGTTATTATTTTGAACAAACTTTTTTAAAATTATACTTTAAGTTCTAGGGTACATGTGCACAAGGTGCAGGTTTGTTACATATGTATACATGTGCCATGTTGGTGTGCTGCACCCATTAACTCGTCATTTACATTAGGTATACTCCTAATGCTATCCCTTCGCCTTCTCCCCACCCTGCGACAGGACCCAGTGTGTGATGTTCCCCACCCTGTGTCCAAGTGTTCTCATTGTTCAATTCCCACTTATGAGTGAGAGCATGCAGTGTTTGATTTTCTGTCCTTGCGATAGTTTACTGAGAATGATGGTTTCCAGCTTCACCCATGTCCCTACAAAGGACATGTACTCATCATTTTTTATGGCTGCGTAGTATTCCATGGTGTATATGTGCCACATTTTCTTAATCCAGTCTATCATTGATGGACATTTGGGTTGGTTCCAAATCTTTGATATTGTGAATAGTGCCACAATAAACATATGTATGCATGTGTCTTTATAGCAGTGTGATTTATAATCATTTGGGTATATGCCCAGTAACAGGATGGCTGGGTCAAATGGTATTTCTACTTCTAGATCCTTGAGGAATTGTCCCACTGTCTTCCACAATGGTTGAACTAGTTTACAGTCCCACCAACAGTGTAAAAGTTTTCCTATTTCTCCACATCCTCTCCAGCACCTGTTGTTTCCTGACTTTTTAATGATTGCCATTCTAACCGGTGTGAGATGATATCTCATTGTGGTTTTGATTTGCATTTCTCTGATGGCCAGTGGTGATGAGCATTTTTTCATGTGTCTTTTGGCTGCATAAATGTCTTCTTTTGAGATGTGTCTGTTTATATCCTTTGCCCACTTTTTGATGGGGTTGTTTGATTTTTGTCTTGTAAATTTGTTTAAGTTCTTGGTTGATTCTGGATATTAGCCCTTTGTCGGATGGGTAGGTTGTAAAAATTTTCTCCCATTCTGTAGGTTGCCTGTTCACTCTGATGGTAGTTTCTTTTGCTGTGAAGAAGCTCTTTAGTTTAATTAGATCCGATTTGTCAATTTTGGCTTTTGTTGCCATTGCTTTTGGTGTTTTAGACATGAAGTCCTTGCCCATGCCTATGACCTGAATGGTATTGCCTAGGTTTTCTTCTATGGTTTTTATGGTTTTAGGTCTAACATTTAAGTCTTTAGTCCATCTTGAATTACTTTTTGTATAAGGTGTAAGGAAGGGATCCACTTTCAGTTTTCTACATATGGCTAGCCAGTTTTCCAGCACCATTTATTAAATAGGGACTCCTTTCCCCATTTCTTGTTTTTGTCAGGTTTGTCAAAGACCAGATGATTGTACATGTGTGGTATAATTTCTGAGGGCTCTTTTCTGTTCCATTGGTCTATATCTCTGTTTTGGTACCAGTACCATGCTGTTTTGGTTACTGTAGCCTTGTAGTATAGTTTGAAGTCAGGTAGTGTGATGCCTCCAGCTTTGTTCTTTTGGCTTAGGATTGTCTTGGCAATGCAGGCTCTTTTTTGATTCCATATGAACTTTAAAGTAGATTTTTCCAATTCTGTGAAGAAAGTCATTGGTAGCTTGATGGGGATGGCATTGAATTTATAAATTACCTTGGGCAGTATGGCCATTTTCACAATATTGATTCATCATATCCATGAGCATGGAATGTTATTCCATTTGTTTGTGTCCTCTCTTATTTCCTTGAGCAGTGGTTTGTAGTTCTCCTTGAAGAGGTCCTTCACATCCCTTGTAAGTTGGATTCCTAAGTATTTTATTCTCTTTGAAGCAATACAAACTACCATCAGAGAATACTATAAACATCTCAGTGCAAATAAACTAGAAAATCTAGAAGAAAGGGATAAATTCCTGGACACATACACTGTTGCAAGACTAAACCAGGAAGAAGTTGAATCCCTGAGTAATCCAATAACAGTCTCTGAAATTGAGGCAATATTTAATAGCCTACCAACCAAAAAAAGTCCAGGACCAGACGGATTCACAGCCAAATTCTACCAGAGGTACAAAGAGGAGCTGTTACCATTCCTTCTGAAACTATTCCAATCAATAGGAAACGAGGGAATCCTCCCTAACTCATTTTATGGGTCTTCACTCTTTATCTAAGTTGTCATTCTGTGTCCTTTAATTAGGGCATTTAGCCCATTTACATTTAAAGTTAATATTGTTCTGTGTGAATTTGATCCTATCATCATGATAATGGCTGGTTAATTTTGCAGACCAGCAAAATTTTTTAATGTAGTTGTTTCATAGTGTTGGTCTGTGTACTTCAGTGTGTTTCTGTAGTGACGGGTAATGGTTTTTCCTTTCCATGTTTAGTTCTTCCTTCAGGAGCTCTTGCAAGGTAGGCCTGGTGGTCACAAAATCCCTCAGCATTTGCTTGTCTGAAAAGGATTTTATTTATTTTTTATTTATGAAGTTTAGTTTGACCACATATGAAATTCTGAGTTGGAAATTCTTTCCTTTAAGAAAGTTGAATATTGGTCCCCAATACCTTCTGGCTTGTAGGATTTCCACTCAGAGGTCTGGTGTTATTCTGATGAGCTTCGCTTTGTAGGTGACCTGGCCTTTCCCTCTGGCTGCCATCAACATTTTTTCCTTCATTTCAACCTTGGAGAATCTGATGATTATGTGACTTAGGGTTGAACTTCTCGTGGAGTATCTTAATGGGGTTCTCTGGATTTCCTGAATTTGAATGTTGACCTGTCTTGCTAGGTTGGGGAAATTCTCCTGGATGATATCCTGAAGTGTGTGTTTCCAACTTGGTTCCATTCTCCCCATCTCTTTCAGTACTCCAATCAGTCATAGGTTCAGTCTTTTTACATAGTCCCAAAGTTCTCAGAAGTTTAGTTCATTTCTTTTCATTTGTTTTTGTCTAATATTGTCTGCCTGCCTTATTTCAGCAAGATTCAAGATAGTCTTCAAGCTCGGATATTCCTTCTTCCACTTGGTTGATTCAACTATTGATACATGTGTTTGCATCATAAAGTTCTCCTGCTGTGTTTTTCAGCTCCATCAGATCATTTATGTTCTTCTCTAAACTGGCTATTCTGGTTAACAGCTTCTGTAATCTATTGTCGTGGTTCTTAGCTTCTTTGCATTGGGTTAGAACACAATCTTTTAGCTCAGCAAAATTCATTATTACCCATTTTTTGAAGCCCAATTCTGTCCATTCACCCATCTCAGCTTCAGCCCAGTTCTCTGCCCTTGCTGGAGAGGCGTTGTGATCACTTAGAGAAGAAGAGTCATTCTGGCTTTTTGATTTTTCAGCGTTTTTGCATTGGTTTTTCCTCATCTTTGTGAACTTATCTACCTTTTATCTTTGAGGCTGTTGGCCTTTGGATGGGGTTTCTGCAGGGTCTTTTTGTTGATGTTGTTATTGTTGTCACTTTCTGTTAGTTTGTTTTGGTTTTAACAGGCCCTTCTTCTGGATATCTGCTGCAGTTTGCTGAGGATTCATTCCAGACCCTGTTCACTGGGTATCACCAATGGAGGTTGCAGAACAGCAAAGATTGCTTCCAGCTTTTTCCTCTGGAAGTTTTGTCCCAGAGGGGCACTGACCTGATGCCAGCCAAAACTCTCCTGTATGAGGTGTCTGGTGACCCCTGTTGTGAGGTCTCACCCTGTCAGGAGGCACAGGATCAGGGACCTCCTTAAGGAAACAGTCTGGCTGCCCCTTGGTGGAGTGAGTTCACTGCACTGGGGGAAATCCCCCTTGTCCAGATTGCCTGGACTTTTCAGAGCCAGCAGGCAGGAAAGATTAAGTTCACCAAACCTGAGACTGTGGCTGCCCCTCCCCTCAGGTGCTCTGTTCCAGGGTGATGAGAGTACTCTCTCTAAACCCCTGGATGGAGTTGTGGGAATTCTTTCAGGGACGTCTTGCCTGGTGAGGAGGGATGAACCCAGGTCCCACCTAAAGAAGCAGTCTGGCCAAGTTCTGCCACAGCTGTTGTGCTATGCTGTGGGAAATTCCACCCAGTCCAAACTGCTCAGTCTCCCTAGCACTGGCAGGGGAAAACTGCAGACTAGAGCTGCAGTAATGACAGTCACTCCTCTCCCCAGGAATCCAGTCTTCTTGGGCAGACTCGGGGCTTCTGTGCTGGCCAATGGGGATTCCAAGTCAGTGGGTCTTAGCTTTCCAGGTTCCATGGGAGTGGGACCCACTGAGTGAGGCCACTTGGCTCCCTGGTTTCAGCACCCTTCCCACAAGTGTGGATGGATCTCCTGCCTCACTGTAGTTCCAGGAGCCACTGGAGTATGCAAAAAATCCTGCAGTTCAGTGCTTGCCCTAGCAGCCACAGACCTGAGTGGCCACTGTTGGTCTGCAGAGCTTTGTGCCTGGGACCCAAGGCCCTGGTGGTGTGGGCTCACAAGGAAATCTCCTGATCCACAGGTTGCAAAAATCCATGGGAAAAGTGTAGTTCCCTGAGCAGGTAGCACAATCCCTCACTGCCTCCCTTGGCTTGGGGCAGGAGGTCCCATTGCCCTATGCAGCTCCTGGGTGAACCATCCCCCTACCTGCCTTTTCTTGCTCTCTGTGAATTGCACCAACTGCCTAGTCAGTCCCATTGAAAGAATCTGGGTACCCCAATTGAAAATGCAGAATTCACTTGCCATTTATGTTTGTCTCAGTGGGAGCTGCAGACTGGAACTGTTTCTACTCACCCATCTTGGCCCCTCCCTTCTTTTTATTTTCTTATAGTTTTTGTCTTGAAATATATTTAGTCTGATTTCAGTATAGTGACTCCTGCTTTTTCTTGGTTTCCACAGGTGTGAAATATCTTTTTCCATCCTTTTACTTACAGTCAATGTGTTTCTTTATAGGCAAAGTGTGTTTCTTGTAGGCAACAGATCGATGGGTCTTGTTTTCTCATCCATTCATCCAGTCTATGTGTTTTGATTGGAGAGTTTATTTTATTTACACTCAATATTATTATTTATAAGTGAGGACTTATTTCTACCATTTTGTTATTTGTTTTTTGGGTTTTTTTTTTGTCTTCTTTGGTTCTTTCTTTTCTTCCTGTCTTCCTTTAGTGAAGGTGATTTCCTCTGGTGATATAATTTTTTTTATTTTAACTTTTTTGTATCTGTTGCATGTTTTTTGGTTTATGGTTGCCATGAGGCTTGTAAATACCGTCTTTTAACAAATTATTTTAACCTGATAACAATTTACTACTGCATAAACAAGCAAAAAGAAAACTAATAAAAACTATATGCCTTAATTTTGTTTGCTGACTTTCTAAGTTTTATTTTTGTTTCTATTTATATCTTGTTTTACTGAGTATGTCTTGGAAAGTAGTTTGTATTTTTGATTCTTTCATAATTTAGTCTTTCTACTTAGGGTAAGAGCAGTTTACACACCACAATTTTGGTGTTATTCTGTGTTTTTCTGTGTCATTCTATGAGCAGTGAATTTTCTACCTTCAGGTGATTGTTTATTTCTCATTAATGTCCTTTTCTTTCTGGCTGAGTATTCCCTTTAGCATTTCTTATAGGAGAGATTTGAAGTTGATGAAATCCCTCAGCTTTTGTTTTTCTGGGAAAGTCTTTGTTTTTCTCGCAGGTATGAGGAACATTTTCTTAGGATATACTATTCTAGGGTAAATGTTTTTATCCTTCAGCACTTTAAATATGTCATGCCACTCTCTCAGCCCATAATGCTTTCACCAAAAAGTCTGCCAGATGTATTGCAGCTCCATTGTATGTTATTTGTTTCTTTTCTCTTGCTGCTTTTAGCAACTATTCTTTATCCCTGACCTTTGGAAGTTTCATTATTAAATGCCCTGAAGTAGTCTTCTTTGTGTTAAATCTGTGTGTTGCTCTGTAACCTTCTCTTACTTGGGAATTGATATCTTTCTCTAGATTTGGGAAGCTCTCTGTTATTCCCTTCAATAATCTTTCTACCCCTATCTCTTTCTCTACCTCTTCTTTAAGGCCAATAACTTAGATTTATACTTTTGATGCTGTTTTCTAGATTCTGTAGGTGTGCTTCATAGTTTTTTATTCTTTTTTACTTTATCTCCTCTTTGTATTTTAAAATAGTCTGTTTTCAAGTTCTTCTGTGGCAATGTAGAACCATTACAAGATCGTGCAATGGGAGTTAACATAATACTCCATAAAGGTGGAGATTGTTACCTGTTGTGTTCCCTGTTGTGCCCCTAACATGTAAAAGGTAGAAAAGTACCAGGCACATAATAGATTCCCAAATGAGCATTTGTTATATAAATAATAGAAACAGTTGTCACAATGAGGGAACGAAATAAACTCAAGACCAGTTAGAAAGGTATTTTAATCTTCCTTTTATCAGGCTGTAGCTTACCACTCCACTTTTACTTAAACTGTTGTGGTGTTGCTTTTAGGATGTTTTTGGAGGAAACTGTATATTCACATGCTTCAACCAGTGAAACTGGCTAACAAAGATGTTTTCTTTTTATAAATGTTGGCAGTAGTTGTTCTTCATTTAAGTAATTATAGTAGGAGAAAGTAATGTTGGCCACATTTCTTCACCAAGTAGAATTAATAAGAGACCTTAATGAAAAAAGTTAATATTATCCTGTAATTATCCCCTAACTATGCCTGAGATTGAATGATTCATTATAACTCCACCCCGCCATGCGTGTGTGTCTGTGTGTGTGTGTGTGTGTGTGTGTGTGTGTGTGTGTGTGTGTTTACAAACCTATGAGGTTACTTGGGGATAAAGATATTCTATTTGATTGAATTTTCTGCATAGTTAATATTAAGTTGCACAACTTTGTTGCAACTGTTATTGATAATTACAGCAGCAGTTACTGTTTACTTTCTATCAAATTATGTTCTAAGATACTTTCCTGATTTTTTTTTTAATCTTATAGAAACATTACAAGGTAGATTATTTGTTTTATATATAAGGAAACAAAATAACCAACATGCTCTGATTCCAGAGCCCATGCTCATTTAACATTTAACTCATACTAACACTTTCCTTCTTTGGTAAACATGGTATACTATAATGGTAACTTTAAACTATGTCCTTCATGCTTTTTAGTGTTAAAATGTCCTTTCAGGAAATTATGAGAAGAAATTTTAGTCTTATTTAAAAAATATTATTATTTGCAAAAAAGGTAGCAGTTTTGTGTGTTCTGAAACTTTTTTGGAAATTTTCTTCTCTTTGAAACCTAAAAGTTTGAGAGTTGCCATAAAATGGCAAATCTCCCCTATTAATTAATAATCTTATGAAATGTAGAACCATTTCTTTGAATATAAATGAGCAGCATACAGATTTAGAGATATAATAAAAATCAAGTAAATTTAGAAAAGTTTTTTCTTAAAAAAAGAAAAATTCGTCTGTTTTAGAGGTTTCTTTATATATCTTTTAGAGCAGAGATCAGTTCTCTTTGAGAGAGACACACTTTGAACTATACTTACAGTTCTTGTTAAGACCATTGGTGATAGACAGGTTAGATAATTTTATTATTTTGCATAATTAAATGTTGATATTACTTTGATTAATAAAAGTGTATTAAGCAAAGTAATTTATGATTATCCCTTCCAACAAGTTCTCCTGTCTCAGATAATGTGATGATATTCCAGCAATTTCTAAGTATAAATTACAACTTTTTGGTAGTCTTTACTGATGAAACATGGTGCTTTTAGAGGTTCAATCATAGGTACATTATTAGGTGCATATTGGGATTCTGAAAGTCTTAGGATGACACATAGGTAAGTTAAAATAGAGCTTGTTGTAAATGTTCATTGTCTGCCTTTTTTTTTTTTTTTTTTTTTTTTTTACCTCAGTAATGGGTGAAAATACCGGTGGAAACATTTTGTGGTTTGAGAAATTTTTTTTTTCCGTTTTCATAGGCCATGAAACCTTAGTTTTTCAATTAGATCATTTGTCTTAAGACAGCACATTCCATCCTTCCACTCAACTCAATGAGACCAACATCTCATATTTCAAAGTTTTGTATTTCATCACACATCCTCTTTGTATAGGAAGCACTATTACAGTGGAAGAAATATGTAAACACCCAGAGTAATTACTGTAATTAATTTTTTGGCCTTAAGCCAACTAATCTAGAGCTCATACAAGCTATATGACTCTTTATGATTTTAAGATTAAAATAAAAGCTTGATTCTTTATAGCCACCTGCTATTTCACGTGGATTTCTTTCATCTCATCTTTATCACATTTCTCTTTTCTAGGGCTTACTTCTGAGGTCCACCTTGGTTTGTTTTCCAGAGTTCAGTCCAAGTTCTATCTAGACTCTCTTAATCCCTGAAGTACCAAATACTTTCTTTGTGAGTCTCCTGTTTTTAATCTCTGTTAAAAACAAATAATATTCCCTAAAAGCTGAAGCAATAAATAAGTAAATCCAAGTCACTGGTATCTCTTAGAATTTCTCTCTCTCTTTTTTAAAATTCAAACCACGGGACTTTGGAAAGCATTCTTAAAATGTTTTTCCCCCTCACTCTGGAAACTCCAGGTTTTTATTATGTCTGCTCCCAGCAGCCTTTTCAACTTCAAGATCCAGGTAGTTATCAAGTAGTGTGTTATTGGTCTTAGCAACAGGGAAGCAAATAAAACTTTTTAACTCAAGCAAATTAAGATTTCTCTCCACTTTCTATAGATTAGCTCATGTTTTGTGCCTCCCTCTCTCAAAGAAAGGTCAGTCATATGTGTTGTATTTTTTAAGTCTATGGGAGATCCATCTAAGTTTCCCAGAATTGTAATAATAACTAAGATATTAGAGCTATTATTTGAGTAAGTTAGGATGAATAGTTACATGAGCTGTTCCTATACAAGTGACTCTTATTCCAGGCAGAAGGGCGAAAGGATACTTATGACAAATATTGGAAGCTGTGCCAAAATTTCAAGGATCCCTAAATTCAGGCACTGCTGGTAGAAATTGAAGGGGCTGTACAATACAGAGCCCTGCTCATACTAGAAAGTCCCTATAAGATGTGAGGAATGTGAAAACGTATGTCACTGGAGAAGCAACTTCAGGGCTCTATATACTGTAAATCACAGCAAGAATTGAGACGAAGTGTAGTATGGAGTGGTGGGAAGTATCATACTGGTTTACTTTTTAAATACTCAGTGAAGTAGATCTTATTGAAAGTTTTACAAACCAAGCCGTGCAATCCCTGAAGGGTCTAGGAATGAGAGTTGAAGATTTTGACAGCAGCACAGGCTATTAATTGAAGTGAAAGAATTGTTGGAGGTAAACCATGACAGTTGCCATTGGTAGTCTTGAAATTATGGGCAATTTGTTATGCTTGTGATTCAGGGTGAAACTCCGTTAATTTCAGTTTCAGGAACATAAATTGTTTAGGTCCACCAAATATCCAGTAGGAAGAATATGACAATAAGGATTATATTATACAAAATGATACACATTTTTTGACAACGTTTTAACATGGTCTTGGTGTGGAAAGGCAAACTTATTTTCCGTATCACCTAGTTTAGCTAGTTTGCCCACCAGTGTAAAATACCTGTCAGGATACAGTACATTGTGAGTTATATTTGTTTCTGTTTTAAAGAGATAAACAGGTATTTGGACAAGGGATTTTACAAAATATAAGTTATTGTTTAATTTTAGAAAGGATATTTTATTGAAAGCCAAAGGCCTTCTGAAAATTGAATGTGTTCTCCCTAGGCTTTGTTTATTTATTTTTAATCAAATGCTTATGCACCTGAATCTTTAAAATAATATGGGAAAAATGATTTTAAAAAGACGAATTGCTTTTTTATCAAAATGTAAAGGGATAATTTGATATATTAATTGGATTTGAAATACATAACTGGAACTTAAGAGGGAATTATTTAAGGTCAGTCACAAATTTGAAGATGTGCGGTATTCAATAGGTATAATAAATAAATTGATAATATCCAGTGAATATTTCATTATACTGCCACTTATCAAATTGTAAAAAATATTGACACTGAATACATATTAATAAATCATTATATTTATGTAAGTATACTTTCAGATAGAAACCATTATGAAACATTATTGCTATGGTCTGAAAGTGTCCCTGCCTCCAAATTCGTATGTTGAAAACTAATCACTGGTATAATAGCAGTAAGAGGTAGAGACCTTTAAGACATGACTAGGAAAAAGCCCTCATGAATGGGATTGGAACCCCTATAAAAGAAGCCAAAAGAAGCTTGTTTGGCCCTTATACTATGTAAGAAATCAGCAAGAAGGTGCTATCTTTGGAGAAGAGAGCAAGCCCCCACCAGACACAGAATCAGCTGATACCCTGACCTTGGACATCCCAGCCTCTAGAACTGTAAGCAATACATTTCTGTTGTTTGTAAATTACCCAGTCTAAGATACTTTGTTTTAGGAGCCCTAATGAATTAAGACAGTTATCTAATGCTGAATCTGAGGCACCTTCTAATAGAAAGGCAAAGAGCTCGGAATTGTGTCAGTCAAGTTCAAATTATTTTCAAGTACTTCATCATATTTCTCGTTATTATGTATTTGTAGTACAAGAAGTTTCACAAAATGAGAAAGCTATCTTTGCATTTTCTATTTTTTATACAATGAATCATCTCTTGATTTAGGTTCTTATCAAATGATAGCCTTAACTTCATAGCCATGTAAGATGATGGAAGAAATGATTTATTATATTCTGTCATTCTTTCTAGAGAAGAATAATCACCTTTCTCAGTATTAAAGTGGCTTTCAGGCAAATCAATCAACCATAGATGGTGTCATAAGACTGTCTTCTGATGTTAATAAAGCATTCCGTAATAAGGAGTTTTTAAGTGTTGTATTTATAGACAGTGATAGAAATTATAAGAGACTGCTGAAAAAAGGACTAGAGTACCTGTAATTTCTGAGAGTATTGTACTTCAAAATACTTAGCTGTAGGGTCTGTTTTTGTAAATAATAAGTACTTCAATATGCCTTCATGCATTTTACTCATACAGATTTTAGAAAATGACATAAGATTTACAAGTATTTATCCTTTGTTTTTCGAAAAATCCACCTATACTCTTTACCTTTCATTAAAAGTAAACACTTGTATTTGAAAAGTATGAAGACAAAATGATTCTATGTTGTATCTTTGGAATTTTCTTATAGATAATAAAATATATTTATTTATTTGTATGCTTCTTTTTAAAATATGCTTACACAAGACTGATATCACTTATATGAAGAGAAATAAAAAATACAATAAGAAATCATTCCATCTTATTACTTATCTCATCAAAGCATTTTTTAATAATTTTATAGAATATGTGATGGTAGAAATGCAAAAAAAGTTGAAGTGGAAAAACTCACGGTATACCACTTTCCAGAGTAATGCCAAACTTTATTTCAAATGTAGATACTTTTCTGGTTAGATATCCAATAGAGTTAGTAATTTCAATTATCTATGAATACTTTAAAGACAACTGTAATTCATTGCCTCCATATTGCCAGTGACAAACAAAAAATGACATTTACTATGGAATTGGAATATTTAGAAGTATGACTGAATAATGACTTATCTTATGGTCATCATATTCAGTTTGGTGATTGAACAATGCATGTCTTAACAGCGTAGAAATAGAAGCATCAGTAATCTTTTAGCAAATGTATAAGGAAATTCTTTTTCTATTATCTGGAACTCTAATAATAGTTATTTGATTATATGTGTCAAATGCTTAATTCTGCAAGCTAAAATTTGATAGATATATGTGATGTTATTCAATATGTTGCCCAATAAGTTATTTTTATAGTTCAAAAGTGAAAGGAGAGCCATTCCAATCCTTGATTCAAAAAATAATGAAAGGAGCTAAATTTGCAAAATGTTATCAAGTAGAAGACATGAGCAATACCTCTTTTAGAATTTATAGGTATATTCTTTTGAACACAATGGCATCCATAAATGGCATAAAATATTGAGATTCAACATTTCTCTTTATTTGTTGATATCTGTGGTTTCATTACTAAGGTCAGATAGAAAAGTTCTGGAAAGTATCTGACTGCATCTTTCTTATCAAATACAAATTTATATCTGTAAGAGAAATGTACCTACTAATAACCCAGATATAAACTTTACCTACTTTACAAGCTTAAGCAAACATGGTGAATGTGATGCTCTGTTTGGTAATATGAAATTTATAGAAATTTCTATGGTGTGTTGTTTATTTTATAGTTCACTAGGTTATTTTTCATTGTAGCTTGCTTCTCCCTTTGAATACCACAAATAGTATTCTCCTCCTCAGAAAATCATCTGACAGCAGTTTTTTTTAAGTCAGCTAGGTTGTTGGACTACTTATCAGGATATACTCGTGAGTTATTTCATGTCCTTATGGCACCAAATTAGATTGCTAAAGTACAACCTTTACAATCTATCACTTTTTCAGATCTTTTAAGTGCCATTGATATCATCCTGGAAATTTCAATCACCACAGTGAGGATGGGCTTTGGGAATTATTGATGTCTATAATAGGGTAATTTGTCAAGGCAACAATGTCATTTTTGTGTGGTTCCCAGTTTGTGTAGGTATTAAAGGAAATGAAATGGGAGATAAAGCAGTCAAAAAGGCTTTGTAAAATCATTCAGGAGTATCGAATATTTAATTATTTTAAAGAGAACATAATTTATCACAAAACAAAGAACCAATGCCAAATGAGGACAAATACATAATGAGGTTAAACAGGTTTACATAAATACAAAGAATTACAAATTTATGTCATTTGTCAACCTGGTTAAAACATCAAGAAACATTCATTTTCTTATATCTAAATATTGTAAGTTCTTTCTGAAGTTTTATTCAATGTGTTGCCTTGCAGTCACATTTTGTTCTAATAAATCAGCACAAACATGTGATCAGACAATATATTGTTTTCTTTTCTTACAATTGAAAATGTAATTGTGAGCTCCACATTAGAGTTTAATAGAATAAGTTGCAGCTATAAACAATAAAGGAGTTATAAATATAATTAAGAAATGTCATTATGCTTACATAACACTTAAGATATTATTAACTTAGAAATGCTGTCATTGGAGCAATGCACACTTACTTACAAACTAGAAAAATTATCATATAGCTCTTTTGTTTCACTAAAGTCCTAAAATTACTAGAAAGCAGTAAATTAAAAAATAGAATACATAATGTGTTTTCTTTTTTTATTATACTTTAAGTTCTAGGGTACATGTGCACAACGTGCAGGTTTGATACATAGGTATACATGTGCCATGGTGGTTTGCTGCACCCATCAACTCATCATTTACATTAGGTATTTCTCCTAATGCTATCCCTCCCCCAGCCCGCCACCCCCCAACAGGCCCGAGTGTGTGAAGTTCCCTGCCCTGTGTCCAAGTGATCTCATTGTTCAATTCCCACCTATGAGTGAGAACATGCAGTGTTTGGTTTTCTGTCCTTGTGATAGTTTGCTGAGAATGATGGTTTCCAGCTTCATTCATGTCCCTGCAAAGGACATGAACTCATCCTTTTTATGGCTGCATAGTATTCCATGGTGAATATGTGCCACATTTTCTTAATCCAGTCTATCACTGATGGACATTTGGGTTGGTTCCAAGTCTTTGCTATTGTGAATAGTGCCTCAATAAACATACGTGTGCATGTGTCTTTATAGTAGCATGATTTATAATCCTTTGGGTATATACCCAATAATGGGATAGCTGGGTCAAATGGTAACTCTAGTTCTAGATCCTTGAGGAATCACCACACTGTCTTACACAATGGTTGAACTAATATACACTCTCACCAACAGTGTAAAAGCGTTCCTATTTCTCTACATCCTCTCCAGCATCTGTTGTTTCCTTACTTTTTAATGATTGCCATTATAACTGGTGTGAGATGACAACTCATTGTGGTTTTGATTTGCATTTCTCTGAAGACCAGTGATGGTGAGCATTTCTTCAAGAATACATAATATGTTTTCTTAAAGAATGATTATATATATATATTTTTAAATCAAGCAGTTCAGCTTTTTGTAAGTGAAACAATAGGTTTTGTTTCAACTGGTTGTTTTGGCACTATATATATATATATATATATATATATATATTCTTAATCATTTACCACAGTTGTCCTTATGTTTTCTAAATTACTTACATTATATCATTCCACAGCCAGTATAGATAATAAAATTGACCTTCGCATGATTCTCTCTTGGGAGGGGGAGTAATATTTTCAGTTCAGCACCACCCATCAAATATCCCCTATTCTGCAGTCCAACGAGAGTGTTTCCCAGTTAACAGAATAGTAAGGCAAAGCAGTTAATGATATAACAGCTGGAAGAAAGGCAGAAGAGCAAAAACATAATAAATCACCGACATAAGTATTTTCTTAACAATTTTACTTTAAAATATTTCTTAGGCAGAGCTAGTCACAAATATAATTGTGCAACTATCACAAAATTTAGTAACAATTTATTATCTATATGCCTATGACTCCTTAAGGGTGAGTTTACCTCTTATATCTTGAAATGTGTTGCTAGTCCACTTGTTTTCAACTCTTGAAGTTCAATATTCTCCAAACTATCATAATTCCCCCTCAAGCTGCTCTAATTTAATATCAGCGGCAAGGTCTGATCTTCAGCCTTTACTCTGAACTGTCTACTCCCCTTTCCATATGCTTCCTCCAGTCTCCATCTCCATTTATTTATTTATCTATCATATCAGGAGCTGTAATTTATACTCTTTTGGCATTCATTGTAGTGCCTTCTTGGCACTTAATAGCAATGACTATAGAAAACACTGATTGACTAGAATTTATTGAGCATTTATCCCGTGATAAGAATTGTACTAAACATGTGTATGTATATCATTATTATCTATACTTTACAATCGAAGAAATTAGGCACAGATATGTTAACCAACCTTCTTAGTCATAAATGATAGAGCTGCAATTCAAATTTAGAGCCTAAAAAGCTTAAGAAATAGAGTACACTGCCTCTCAAGTAGTAGATACTTATTCCTTCTTCCAGCAAGCATTAACTGAATAGTATTCTACTGGGTAATGGATGGAGAGGAAACAAAAATATAGGTCTACCATCTGGCAAAAAAAATATGGTAAGATTGCAAGAGCAAATCTATCTCCTAAAACTAAACTGATCTTCCTGAACCCCAATGTGTTAGGTGGCAAGATTTAAAAATAATAATATTAACAAAAATATTTAATTGCTTGAGTTAGCATATATCACCATTCTTCAGTTGAGACTTTTCTTTAGGCTAACCACGTTTTTTTCTATAAATTCTTACTCTTTCAATATTCCCTCCTTCCCTGAATATCTCCATAAGAAAGCACCTAGGTAAATGGTGGTAGTAGGGTGTTTACATTACTTCATGGCAATGGGGATGTGTATGTATGTGGGGATTATGCATCCTTGATACAGACTTAGCTACTGAGTAGCTGATTTGGCATAGTGTCTGGATTATTGACCTGACCTCACTTCCACCCCTAGTCTAATCCATCTGTATCAGAGGACTGACACAGGCTTCTGATTAATACTTTACTAGTACTTTCTACACTTCTGTATTTCTCACTAAAGATGAGGAATCTCTGTATGCCATTTGAAGGACTTTCTGAATCAAAAGTGCTGTTCCAGGTTCATTTATCTAACTTTGCTAAAATTGTGTCATTGCTACTGCTGCCCCACCATTCTAAGTACACACTCTGTCAGTGGTATATTTTTAGGATTCTAAGTAAGGTGTGAGTCAAAAACCCTACTATGTCCTGAAAGATGAACCTATAATTCCAACACCTGCTTATTAAACCACTGAATATGTATATATTTCTGAAGTTATTTGAGTCAAGACTTTCCCTTTCTTGTTTCTTAGTAGACTTCTGCTGGGTCATATTCTTCTCTTTCCAGAAGTAATTTTATAATGCCCTTTGCCCTGAAACAAAGTGGCAAATTTTATACAATGAGAGAAAACACAATTGGGGAAATAGTTCTAAAAATATTTTATGAAATGATTCTAAATATACCACATTACATAAACTACTAATTTCTTTCACTTAGCATAGTGATTTTTATATTATTTAAAAGTTTCATGATTTTCATTGAATGCCTGACATTAAATCAGTTGGTTTAACTCCAGTTTAGTAACATTATTTATTTAACCTTTTTGTTAAACTTGTAACCTTTCCTCTTTTTTATTATAGCCATTCTTACAGGTATGAGGTGATATCTCATTAAGATTCATTTAATCATTCCACAATGTAAACATATATCAAAACATCACATCATACCACATAAATATATACAATTATTATTTGTCAATTAAAAATGAAATAACATTCAAAGATAATTCAATTCCTACTTTTCCTTAGAAATAACACTGCAGTAGTAAATACCTTTTTTTCTACAGTTAAGATTATTTCCATGTGATAGATTGCCAGAGTGTAACAGACCAAAGAATATGAATATTCTCTTAAAAAACATATTCTTCTTTTCCAGTTTTATCAAACTTCAATTGATAAATGATATTGTATAAAGTTAAGGATACAAGATATTGATTTGTTATATGTATATATTGTGAAATTATTATCCCAATCAAGTTACTTAACATATCTATCACTTCATCTGGTTACCCTTATTCGTGTGTGTGTGTGTGTGTGTGTGGGTGTGTTGAAAACATTTAAGATCTATTATCTTAGCAAATTTCAAATTTACAATACAGTACTGTTAACTATAGTCACCATGTTGTACATTATATCCTCAGAATTATTTTTCTTATAACTAAAGGTCTGTACCCTTTGACAACATCTGCTCATTTTCCCCACTCTGAAGCCCTTGGCAATTATTATTCTACTCTCTGTTTCTGTGATTTCATTTATTTTTTTTGAGACAGGGTCTCTGCTTTGCTGCCTGGGCTGGAGTGCAGTAGCATGATCATGGCTCACTGCAGCTTTAATGAACTTCCCTGGCTCAAGTGATTCTCTTCCATCAGCCTCCTGAGTAGCTGGGGCTACAGGGGGGCACCAGCACTTCCAGCAAACTTTTTGCTTTTTTTTGTTTTGTTTTGTTTTGTTTTTTTAGAGATGGGTTTTAACCATGTTGCTTATGAATGGTCTCAAACTCCTGGGATCAAGTGATCCACCTGCCTCAACCTCCCAAAATGGTGAGACTACAGGTGTGAACCTCTGTGACCAGCCAATGTCATCTATTGTAGACTCCAACTATAAGTGAGATCACACAGTATTTGTTGTTCTCTGGCTTATGTATTTAACTTAGCATAATTCCTTTAAGGTTTATCCATATTATTGCAAATGGAAGAATATTCCCCTTTTTATGGCTGAATAATATTTCATTGTATTTCTATACACCACAATTTCTTAATCTATTCATCTTTCAATAGACAAATAGGTTGTTTCCACGTCTTGGATATTGTGAATAATGCTGCAATGAACATGGGAGTGTTGATACCTCTTCAACATGCTGATTTTTATTTCAATTGGATACTTACTCAGAAAACGGATTTATGGTTCAAATGGTAGTTCTGTTTTAAAATTTTTGAGGAACCTCTATCTATACTGGTTGTATCAATTTGCAACCCCTCCAACAGTGCACAAGGGGACTCTTCACTGCATCCTGGCCAATACTATTCTCTGTTTGGCAAGACAATTCTCTCTTGTCTGTTGGATAAAAGTCATTCTAACACATATAAGGTGATGTCTTACTGTGGTTTTTATTTGAAATTTTCTTGTGATTAGTGATGTTTAGCATTTTTTATATGCTCATTGACCATTTGTGTATCTTCTTTGGAGAAATGTCCAATCAGAGCCCTTGCTCATTTTTTAATTGGATTTTGTTTTTTGCTATTTAGTTTTACGAGTTTCTTATATATTTTGGATATTAACCAATTATCAGATATATGGTTGGCAAATATTTTCTCTCACTTCATATTTTCATTTTGTTTATTATTTTGTTCCTTATTTCCTTTTATTTGCAGAAGGCTTTAAATTTGATGTAGGCCCACTTATTTACTTTTGCTTATTTTTTTGCTTTTGCTTTTGGTGTTATATAAAAAAATCATTACACAAACCAATGTCAAAGAGATTTTTCTTTATATTTCCTCTAGAAATTGTACAGTTTCAGGTCTTAAATTTAAGCCATGAATCTATGTCAAGTTAGTATTTGTGAGTGGTGTAAGATATGGACTAAATCTCAGTCTTTTGCATGTGCATATTCCAAAGACCATTTATTTTCCAAAGATGATTTATTGAAAAGACAGTCATTTCTCCATTATGTATTCTTAGCATTCATGTCAGTATTAGTTGACTGTGTACACACGAGTTTATTTCAAATCTGTTCCATTGATTTAGGTGCCTGTTTTAGGCCAGTGTCATACTATTTTGATTGAAATAGCTTTGTAATATAGTTTGAAATAAGAAAGCATGATGCCTCTAAGTTTTCTTTTTTCAAGATTGTTTTGGCATTTTGAGGTCTTTTGTGGTTCTCTATGAATTTTAAGATTGATCTTTTCTATTCTTTGAAAAATGCCATTCTACTCATCTGACAAAGGGCTAATATCTAGAATCTACAATGAACTCAAACAAATTTACAAGAAAAAAACAGCCCCATCAAAAAGTGGGCAAAGGATATGAACAGACACTTCTCAAAAGAAGACATTTATGCAGCCAAAAGACACACAAAAAAATGCTCATAATCACTGGCCATCAGAGAAATGCAAATCAAAACCACAATGAAATACCATCTCACACCAGTTAGAATGGCAATCATTAAAAAGTCAGGAAACAACAGGTGCTGGAGAGGATGTGGAGAAATAGGAACACTTTTACACTGTTGGCGGGACTGTAAACTAGTTCAACCATTGTGGAAGTCAGTGTGTTATGTTAGAAATCCCTAGATTCCTCAGGGATCTAGAACTAGAAATACCATTTGACCCAGCCATCCCATTACTGGGTATATACCCAAAGGATTATAAATCATGCTGCTATAAAGACACATGCACACGTATGTTTATTGTGGCACTATTCACAATAGCAAAGACTTGGAACCAACCCAAATGTCCAACAATGATAGACTGGATTAAGAAAATGTGGCACATATACACCATAGAATACTATGCAGCCATAAAAAATGATGAGTTCATGTCCTTTGTAGGGACATGGATGAAGCTCAAAGCTATCATTCTCAGCAAACTATCGCAAGGACAAAAAACCAAACACCGCATGTTCTCACTCATAGGTGGGAATTGAACAATGAGAACACATGGACACAGGAAGGGGAACATCACACACTGGGGCCTGTTGTGGGGTGGGGGAAGGGGGGAGGGACAGCATTAGGAGATACACCTAATGTTAAATGACAAGTTAATGGGTTCAGCACACCAACGTGGCACATGTATACATATGTAACTAACCTGCACGTTGTGCACATGTACCCTAAAACTTAAAGTATAATAAAAAAAAGAAAAATGCCATTCTCTGTCATAATTCTGATAGGTATTACGTTGAATCTATAGATCACTTGGATAGCATGAACTTTTTTAAGATACTGATTTTCCTCGTCCATGAACACAGAATACTTTCATTTATTTATGTTTTCCTCAAATTATTTCATCAATGTCTTACAGTTTTCAGTGTAAAGAGCTTTTACTTCCTTGGTTTGTTTAATTTATTCTTATATATTTTATTTATGGTGCTTTGTAAATGAGATTGGTTTCTTTACTTCTTTTCCAGATAGTTTGTTGTTAATCTATACAAATCCAACTAATTTTGTGTGTTGATTTTGTGTCTTGCAACTGTACTAAATTTGTTATTAGCTCTGACAATTTTTTGGTAGAGTCTTTAGGGATATATATGTATGTGTGTGTGTGTGTGTATACACACACACATACATACTCACGTCATCTGGAAACAGAGAGAATTTTACTTTTTGCTTTCCAAATCAGGTGACTTTTTCTTGTCTAATTACTCTGGTTGGGACTTCCAATATTATGTTGAATAGAAGCGGTGAGAGTGGGCACCCTTGTCTTAATCCTGATCTTAAAGAAAAAGTGTTCAGATTTTCACCATTGAGTATCATGTTAACTGTGGGCTGAGTACACATGGCCTTTATTATGTTAATGTTGAAGATTAAAACACTCTTTATATGAATTTTATTAAAATTTTCTCTCATTAAATGTCATGTTTCTCATCTGCCATTTTTTAAATTTTGTTTGTAATGCTATTTGAACTGCTATTGTCATTGTATATATTAATTGCTTATTTATTCTTCAGTCTATTTGATAGCTTCTTATTTCACTATCCACAATGTAGTGATTCAGAGTTCAGCTTCTGGAGTCACACAGGCCATCATGTGCTAGCTGTGTGCTTTTAGAGTTACTTAACCATTTTGTTTCTCAATATCTTTATTCATAAAACTGGGATAATAATGATGATTACTTCCTAGGTTTAAGGTAGGATTAAGTGAGATAATGTATGTTGAGTGGTTTAAATGAATTATTATGTGTAAACTATTGAAAACAGGGCCTGATATAGAATGAATAATCAATTAATTCCAGCAACCACTTTACCTATCCATTTATACGCTAAATTACACAGTTTTAATTTTAATACTTTAAAAACACATTCTGATAAATGGTGTGTTATTTTCTCATTATGTTTGTTAAAGTATTTTTGTCTACTTTTGCCCTCTTACTCTGCTTGATGAATTTTAATTGTGATCATGTGTTTAAAAGGTCTCAACAATACATTATTTTGTTCTTTAGAATTGAATGATATTTGTTATTTATTTTGCATATTTTTATTTTTCAATAATTAAATGTATTTCAGTAAAGATTAATTGTTTCTTCATAGAAAGGTCTCACATTTCATGTTACAGTTATGTCGCTGTGTTTTCTCTATTAAATTAGTATATGGGATCTTATTTTTTGAATTATATTTTCTACTTATTTGAACCAGACGATAAAGAATGAAATCCTAGCTTTGCCACTTTCTAGCTGTGTAAACTGGAGCCAATTACCCAACCTTCCTATGCTTTGTTCTCTCAGATGTATAATGACAGATATATCAGGACCTATACTATAGAATTATTATAAGGATGGTTATGTAAATTTATTCAAATTATTGTATTTATTTTTTATCTGGTTCTCTTGAATTTTCTCTGTAGTAATTATATTTACTGCCAAAAATAAATGTGTTCCTCACTTTTCATGCTTGTGCACCTTATTTATTTTACATTCTTTACACCAATACTAGAATGCTCAAAATATTTTAACTAATAATGATTTAGGCCTATGACTTCTTTCTTTTTATATGATCACAGTGAATCTTGATCATGTCTGTTTGAGAGAGATGTGTTTTATCATACAGAAAAAATGCTTCCATTTCTATTTTCCTATGGGTTTTTATCAGAAATTGATAGTTCATTTTCTCAAATACCATTTCAGCATTTAGAAGAAAATTGCATGTGTGCATGCATGTGTGTGCTACTGCATTTGCTCTATTAAGGAAAGCCATTATAATAACAGATTGCTTTTGAACCATCCTCACATTTATGGAGTAAATTGTGTTTGATCATAGTGTATGGTTATTTTAATGCACTCATGAATTTCATTACTTAACAATTAAGGTTATTGTGTCCACCTCCATAAATCAATTTGGTTTTTAGATTTCATAATTATAGTTTCTTTATCAGGTTTTTGTATTAAGGTAGTATATTTGCCTTATAAATGAAATAGGAATTTTCCTTGTTTATCTTCTGGAAGAAAGTAAAATACACGTGAATCATTAGCCTCTGTAGCTTCGAGGGAACTCACCTATAAAATCAACTGGATCTGAAATATTTTGGAGTAGTATTTTTTTGACAAATTTTAACAATGTCTTTTGTTGCTATGTCTATTTTTATGCAATTTGGGTTAAGAAAGCTTCTTATAAAATTCATGTACTAAATGTGAAACCTATTAAACTAAGTTTATTCTTTGGATCCTTTTAAATACCCCCTGTATCTATAGTTACAGCCTCCCTCTAATTCCTAATATTGGCTGTCATGGATCCCCATCAGGAGATAAAACATTGGACTACATTTCCAGTCTTGGTGGTATGTTGGGATGTAGATGGCCACCTTAAAATGCTGCTGAAAATATTAGGATCAGAGGTGCCAGAGTCTACTGACAAAATATGCCTTTCTCTTCCTCTACATCAATAAATGCATACATCTACATATCCCCTGGTGTTTTACTTAAATTTTTGTGAGCTGGCAGAAAGATACACAGCTAGAAATTAGGGCCTTGCCTTTTTCCTGAATCTTGACATTCCAGTAGTGGAGGGTATGACGAGAAAGTAAAAGACATGTTTGTATTCTGGGTTCCTGTTCTGTCCTCCTCTTTCTTAGCTGCTTTCCAACAGGACTTGCCTTAGGTGATACAAGCTAATTCCATAAATAACAGCATGTCTACAAAAAGCCACTTTTTTTTTTCTTATTTTGTGTCCCCCCTTTAAAAGTCCTTTCAACTTTAATTACACTAATATAATCAAAATAGGTATATTTCTACATGACATCAGTCTTTTGAATAAAACCGAAGTACACAATACTACAAGGCATTTTCCGATATATTTATTCTCCTTGAGTTTGGGCCCTGCTACCAATTATATACATTGTTTTTCTTCAGTGAACTAGATAATGCAAAAAACAGTGCTTTATTTCTTGCTGGAATTAATAATGGTTATTGCAATGAGTGTTTCTAGTACTTTTTAGAATCTTCAAGCATATACAGAAATCACAAAAGTGTAAAAAACTTAATATACTTAATAGAAAAGTTGAAAATTTGTTTTATTATAATAATTTTCTCAAATATGTTTTACAATATTAATTCAGCAGTAAATGAAAATTTTTGCTAAGAGTAGTTCAGAATCGATTTCAGAAAAAATGTTTTAATCAAAGAAAATGTTATAGCGCACTCTAGTGGCACACTGTGTAATTTAGCACAAAGTAAAAGTCCTCCTGCTTATAATAAACTGACAGGTTATGCATAAGAGTAATTTATCTTACTGTAAAAATATAGCAATATTTTCCAATATATGAAGATATACTACAAGCATGCATGCTTCGTAGCCTGCCATTATTTTCTATGTACTTTTGTGAGATTTATCTACCATTTAATAGTCTACTGAAGCATACTTTTAATCACATTTGATATTTTTTATATTTAAAAATAATCTGACAGTTTGAATTGTTTATTTTTATATTTCTGATATGGAAGTTACCCATTAGTAGCTAATGTTTGTGAAACGAGTGGAATTTTTTTTTTTAATACTGCTATCCCTTTCCCAAAGTCAGAAGTGACTACATTGCAGTTTAGCTATGTTAAGCTCCTGGCATTAACCACATTGCAAGATTAAAGGCACAGTTCTCCAGATTTCCAAGTCTGACCAAAGCTTCTGACCCTAGCTGCAAGCAATTATGTAATCACCCAACTTCCTGTATCCTGCATAGGCAAAAACAATTCACCAAGAACATGCTACTGCAGTAAAGAAAGAGTTTAATTAATGTCAGGCTAGCCATGCAGTAGACTGAGATATTACTCAAGTCTCTCTCCCTGAGAACTCAGAGGCTAGGGTTTTTATAAATAATTTGGTGGGCAGGGGGCTAGGGAATGGGTGCTGCCAATTGCTTGGGAATTAAATGAGATTCTGGAACAGTCCTCGTGTGCTGAGTCCACCTCTGGATATGGGTCGCATGACTGCTTGAGTCATGAATCTCAGGTCTGGGTGGGGTAAGTTGGTTGCCAGAATGCCAAAATCTGAAGAACATCTCAAAAGGCCAATCTTAGATTCTATAATAGTGATGTTATCTATAGGAGCAATTAAGGAAGTCACAAAATTTTGTGACCTCTGAAGACATGACTCCTGAGTAGTAAGAGATTATAGAAACTATGCCTACATTTAAGCAGAATTCAGACTTTTCCTATAATTCGAATCTACCGATCTTTTGTTAGTTTTACAAAGGCAGTTTCAGTCCCCCAAAAATTAGTTTTAGGGACAGACTATTATTCTTCTTGCTTTAATGTTAAACTATAATCTAAATTCCTCCCATGGTTAGCTTGGCATACACCCAGGAATGAGTGAAGACTGAGCCAGTCTGTGAGGCTAGAAGCAAGATGGAGCCAGCCATATTAGATTTCTCTCACTGTCACAACCTTTGAAAAGATGGTTTTAATTAGGGGACAATGGCAAAGTTAGAGAAAGAGTTCACACAAAACTACCCTCACTTCTGACACCATGTATAAGTTTGGAGGTTTCCCAAAGCCATTCTCAGGTTTGATCATTCAATAGAAAGATTCACAGAACTCACTGAAAATTATACTCACAGTTATAGTTTACTAAGGGCAAGAGTACAGAAAATTCACCAAAGTAAGAGACACATCGGGCAACATCTGGGAGGGCTTCACATGCAAAGCTTCCATTGTTATCAGGATGTGTTACTTTCCTGTCATTAATGTGTGACAATACACACTGAATATGTCAACCACAAAGCACACCCGAACTTTGGTGTCCAGAATTTTTACTGAGTCTCCAGTAAGTAAGCATGATTGACTGATTGATTACTCCTGTGTTTGGAATTAGTCTCCAGCCTCTGTGATTTCTAGAGATCTTGCTGTTATCACGTGGTTGGAGAAACCCACTATAAGTCACCTCATTCCCATAAACTATCAGGTATGGTTCAAGGGGCCCCAAATAAATAACAAAGGCATTCCTATCTCTTGGGCTATTCTAAGTGTTTGGAGGTTACCTCCCAGGTCCCAAAGACAAAGGCAAGCACTCTCTTTGGAAAAAGCCATAAAAGAAATCACAGAATTGAGAAAAACCAAGGAGAAGAACTATTTGCTTCCTCTGTAGAAGACACTTTCATGAATGAATTTCATTATTGACACTTTCTACTAATTTTTTTCTTCTAATAAAAATGGGATACATGTGCAGAACGTGCAGGTTTATTATATAGGTATATGTGTGCCACAGTGGTTTGCTGCACCTATTGACCAGTCCTCTAGGTTCCCTCCCCGCACCCCCCACCCCCCAACACTCACTGGTGTGTACGTTGTTCCCCTCTCCGTGTCCATATGTTCTCATTGTTCAACTCCCACTTATGAGTGACAACATGCAGTTTTTGGTTTTCTGTTCCTGTGTTAGATTGCTGAGGATGATGGCTTCCAGCTTCACCTAAGTCCCTGCAAAGGATATGATCTTAATCTTTTTTATGGCTGCATAGTATTCCATGGTGTATATGTACAACATATTTTTTTATCCAGTCTATCATTGATGGACATTTGGGTTGGTTCCATATATGTGCTATTGTAAGTGGTGCTGCAATAAACATATATGTGCATGTGTCTTTATAGTAGAATGATTTATATTCCTTTGCGTATATACCCAGTAATGGGATTTCTGGGTCAAATGGTATTTCTGGTTCTAGATCCTTGAGGAATCACCACACTGTCTTCCACAATGGTTGAACTAATTACATTCTCATCAACAGCATAAAAGCGCTCCTATTTCTCCATAGCCACACCAGTATCTATTGTTTCCTGACTTTTTAATAATCACCATTCTGACTGGCATGAGATGGTATCTCATTGTGGTTTTGATTTGCATTTATCTGATGATCAGTGATGTTGAGCTTTTTTTCATATGTTTGTTAGCCACATAAATGTCTTCTTTTGAGAAGTGTCTGTTCATATTCTTTGCCCACTTTTTGATGGGGTTTGTTTTTTCTTGTAAATTTGTTTAAGTTCCTTTTGAATTCTGGATATTAGACCTTTGTCAGATGGGTAGATTGCAAAAGTTTTCTCCCATTCTGTAGGTTGCCTGTTCGCTGTGATGATAGTTTTCATTTGCTGTGCAGAAGCTCTTTAGTTTAATTAGATGCCATTTGTCAATTTTGGCTTTTGTTGCAATTCTGCTTTTGGCGTTTTTGTCATGAAGTCTTTGCCCATGCCTATGTACTGAATGGTACTGCCTAGGTTTTCTTCTATTGTTTTTATGGTTTTGGATTTTACATTAAAGTCTTTAATCCATCTTGAGTTAATTATTGTATAAGGTGTAAGAAAGGGGTCCAGTTTCAGTTTTCTGCATATGGCTAGCCAGTTTCCCCAGCAACATTTACTGAATAGGATATCTTTTTCCTACTGCTTGTTTTTGTCAAGTTTGTTGAAGATCAGATGGTTGTAGATGTGTGGTGTTATTTCTGAGGTTCCTGTTCTGCTCCATTGGTCTGTATGTCTGTTTTGGTACCAGTAACATGCTGTTTTGGTTACTGTAGCTTTGTAGTATTGCTTGAATTCAGGTAGTGTGATGCCTCCAGCTTCGTTCTTTTCGTTTAGAATTGTTTTGACTATATGGGGTCTTCTTTGATTCCATATGAAATTTAAAATAGTTTATTTCTTTTTTTTTAATTGTTACCCTTTTTTATTTTATTATTATTATACCTTAAGTTTTAGGGTACATGTGCACAATGTGCAGGTTAGTTACATATGTACACATGTGCCAGTTTATTTCTAATTCTGTGAAGAATGTCAATGGTAGTTTAATGGGAATAGCATTGAATCTATAAATTACTTTGGTCAGTGTGGCCATTTTCACGATATTGATTCTTCCTATCAATGAGGATGGAATGTTTTTCCATTTGTTTGCATCCTCTCTTATTTCCTTCAGGAGTGGTTTGTAGTTCTCCTCAAAGAGGTCCTTCACGTACCTTGTTAACTGTATTCCTACATATTTTATTCTCTTGGTAGTGATTCTGAATGGGAGTTCATTCATGATTTGGCTCTTTGCTTGTGTATTGTTAATGTAAAGGAATGCTTGTGATTTTTGCACATTGATTTTGTGTCCTGAGACTTTGCTGAAATTGCTTATCAGCTTAAGTAGTTTGGGGGCTGAGATGATGATGGGGTTTTCTAAATATAAAATCATGTCATCTGCAAATAGAGAAAATTTGACTTCCTCTCTTCCTATTTGAATACCCATTGTTTCTTTCTCTTGCCTGATTGCCCTGGCCAGAACTTCCAATACTATGTTGAATAGGAGTGGTGAGAAAGAGCATCCTTATTTTGTGCTGTTTTTCAAAGAGAATACTTCCAGCTTTTGCCCATTCAATATGACATTGGCTGTGGGTTTATCATAAGTAGCTCTTTTATTTTGAGATACATTCCATCAATACCTAGTTTATTGAGAGTTTTTAACAGGAAGGGATGTTGAACTTCATCAAAGGCCCTTTCTGCATCTATTGAGATAATCTTGTGGTTTTTGTCTTTGGTTCTGTTTATGTTATGGATTACGTTTATTGATTTGTGTATGTTGAACCAGCCTAGTATCCTAGGGATGAAGCTGACTTGACCGTGGTGGATAAGGTTTTTGATGTGCTGTTGGATTCGGTTTGCCAGTATTTTATTGAGGATTTTCACATGATGTTCACCAGGGATATTGGCCTGAACTTTTCTTTCTTTCTTTCTTTCTTTCTTTCTTTTTTTTTTTTTTTTTTTTGTCATGTCTCTGCCAGGTTTTGGTATCAGGATGATACTGGCCTCATAAAATGAGTTAGGGAGGATTCCCTCTTTTTCTATTGTTTGGAATAGTTTAAGAAGGAATGGTACCATCTCCTGTTTGTATTTCTGGAAGAATTTGACTGTGAATCTGTCTGGTCCTGGGCTTTCTTTGGTTGGTATACTATTAATTACTGCCTCAATTTCAGAACTTGTTATTGGTCTATTCAGGGATTCGACTTCTTCATGGTTTAGTCTTGGGAGGGTGTATGTATCAAGGAATATATCCATTTCTTCTAGATTTTCTAGTTTATTTGTGGAGAGGTGTTTATAGTATTCTCTGATGGTAGTTTGTATTTCTATGGGTCAGTAGTGTTATCCCCTTTCTCGTTTTTTATTGTGTCTATTTGACTCTTCTCTCTTCTTTATTACTTTAGCTAGTGGTCTATCTATTTTGTTTTGTTTTGTTTTTTTCAAAAAACCAGCTCCTGGATTCATTGATTTTTCTGGAGGGCTTTTCCTGTCTCTATTTCCTTCAATTCTTCTCTGATCTTAGTTATTTCTTGTCTTCTGCTAGCTTTTGGATTAGTTTGTTCTTGCCTCTCTAGCTCTTTTAATTGTGATGTTAGGGTGTCAGTTTGAGATCTTTCAAGCTTTCTGATGTGAGCATTTAGTGCTATAAATTTCCCTCTTAATACTGCTTTAGTTGTTCCAGAGATTCTGGAACAACCTGCTCCTGAATGACTACTGGGTAAATAATGAAATTAAAGCAGAAATCAAGAAATCAATTTCTTTGAAACAAATGAGGACAGTTTCCAGTAATTTTCATGCCAATTTTGAAAAAAAAAATATTCTAGCCAGGCTAGTTTCATATTACTATAGTTTTCCTATGGAATATTGCCATATTAAGGGGTGGTTTTTGCCAATTATTTATTTTGTTTTCAGTCTTCTTAAATTTGCAGATAAGAAGAATGCTCTCAAGTCATGTGAAGTCATGATCCCCAGCACTTTACCCAGGATTTCCACTTTCTGCAGGAATTTGTTATTTTGACAGAACTGGATCAAGTTCTAATAATAACACTTATTAGCTATGTGACTTGGACAGTATAAGTAACCTCTCTAAGATTTGTTTTCTCCTTTCCAAAGTGCAAATAATAAAAACAATCTCAGATGGTTGCTCTGACAATTAAATAAGATTATATATGAGAAATCTTTATGTAGTCTCAGTATTATATGATCACCTGCACTAAAGTGAGTTGGACTCTTCCCAGTTAATAGGCCACATATCCAGACTGACGACACTTCACACACCTTGATAATTTGCAAGGAGTTTATTATTCACATCAGGAAATTGTACATAGAGCAAGGTAACTGCAAGCTGATCTGGCTAGAACGGCAAGAACAATGAGCAGAGAGTTGGTTTGACTTTTGTAATGGCGAGAGAGTGGGGCTGGAGAGGAGTTCTCACATTCAGTCTGGGGCTGTGAAGTTCAAATTTCCACAGGACCCAAAATCTCAAAAGGCATGCAGGTTTATTTGTCTATAGTACCAGATATATAGTGTTTGGGCAGGGCAGGGTAGGAGCCTAAATGCTGTGCAGTCAAATATAAAACATGGAGTCAGACTCTTCCTAACCATCAGACAAAACAGGTCTTCAATAAATGTTAGTGCTGTCCTCATTCTCCCCATAAAAGTCATAAAAGTCTTCTTTTTCGTAATGACTACTCTTAGCTAAAATTATTAGAGGGAAAAAATATGATCAGGATGATGTCTTAACTTTTTAACACACAATACAAGGTCATGATGATTTTAATTCTCTGCATCTCACCTTTATTTCTCTCTACTGCCACTTTCTTCTTTACACTCTACATTCTAGTCATAGTCAACAATTTGCAGGCTCCTGAATGTGCAAGCTTTCCTTGAGCCTCTAAATGGGTTGTTTCCTAGCATGTGAATACTGGCCTACCTTCCTTTGCTTCATCAACTCTTAGTTATCCTTCAAAATTTATTTCAAGAGCAATCTCACTTATTCTTGAAGAGGCCTCCCCTGAACCTGTTCTCATTTCTAATTCTATCCTCTCTCTCACACACACACACATACACACACACACTCACACACACACACACACTAGCACACTATCTTGGGTAAAGGGCTATCATGTGTATTTTTATACTACTTGCAAACGCCATATATCAGGGGTCCCTAAACCCCTGGTACCAGTTGGTGACTGGGCCACACAGTGGGAGGTGAGCAGTGGGTTAGACAGCATTACCGCCTAAGCTCCGCCTCCTGTCAGATCAGTAGCTGCATTAGATTCTCATAGGAGCTCTAACAACACTATTGTGAACCACAGATGTGCGGGATCTAGGTTGCACACTCCTTATGAGAATCTAATGCCTGATGATCTGAGGTGGCACTGTTTTATCCCCAAACCATCTATGCCTTGGTCCATGGAAAAATTATCTTCTACAAACTGGTCCCTGATGACAAAAAGGTTGGAGACTGCTGCTGTATATAATAATTGATCAATTTTTCTCTATTTCCTATAGAAGATCATAATAACTTTAAGGGCAAAAAATGCAACATATTTATCCTCGTATCTCTGGCCCCAGCATAGTGGCATGCATAGAGTGAGTACCCACTAAATGTTTCAATAAGTGTAATTGGATAAACTATATTATACAATTGTTTTAATGACATGTAACTCTTCTGAAAATTATTTTTATTTTAAAATGAGAAAAATTTTCCTCTTTGTTAATTACTTGTTGATAGAAGTAAATGCTATAGAATCAAGTTACATGAACAATTCATAGTGGATAGAAGGTTGGTGATGTGGAGATAGCAATATGTTTTTGCCACTGCTGTTGCTGTTATTATTATGTTTCATGATTTTTAGTATAGGAGACAACTTTCTAGGCCCTCTGCAGTCATGTTATAAGTGTATACTGGGTTCTACATTTATCTACTTGTCGATGTATAAGAGCTTTGATAATATAAGAAACCAAGGCTATTAGGAAGTACACATTAAACACATTTATGAGAAACTGGTCACTTTTTCCTGTATTTTAGCCAAATTTTAAAATATTTAGACTACATAATTAGATACAGAATAATAATCTGTGCATCATTTTGACATATATAAATTCACAAAAATAAGAAGATGCTGTATATAAAGTAATGTAATCTGTTATTTAGCTTAAGACTATCTCGAGTTTTGTTGTCCAAAATCATTTTTAATTGGTGTGTTTTATTATATAAATTAATGTAATCAAAAAATTTGAGCTAAATATTTGAATTTGTTTATGACTAGTCATTTATTTTATGGGGGAATAATTGAAATTTGAATAACTTATGAGCCTACAACTTTTCATTTATATAGGGTGATAGCTGGAAATCCATATTTTTTCTCAGTACATATTCCATAGGACAAAGGAGCAATATTACCTTGAATGTAAATTTTGTTGACATTTGTTCACTATTAAGAGAAATGTACTAAGCATTACTAGGATTACTTTTTGTTACAGTGCAGATGATTATTAAGAACTATAAATGGACAGATGAGTTGTCCCACAAACCAGATATCTTTGTGTAAGCATAATATGTGGCACACTTAGACAAAAATGTACCCCATAAAAACAACTGATGATAACTTGGCCATAAGTATGATCAAGAGAGAAGACTCTTTTTATACTGTATGGATTTCTTTTTTTCTGTATGATGGTGGGTTTTTAAAAATAAACTGTTCTACATAATTCTTGAAACATTGTTTTGTTATGGGGTGATGAGTCCTTACAGTATGGATATTTTAAAGTGGTTTTATTGAGATAAAATTGAAATACAATAAACTACACATATTTAAGGTATACAATTTGATAATGTTTGACCTATACAGTCATATGCCATATAAAAACGTTCAATTAGTGATTGAACACATATACGATGGTGGCCCCATAAGATTTCAATGGACCTAAAATGTCCTTATAGCCTAGTGACATCGTAGACATTGTAACATCACAATACAATGAAAAACTCACATTTTTGTGGTGATGTTAGTGAAATCAAGCTTATTGTATTGCCAGTTGTACAAAAGTGATGTCACATTCAATTACATACAGTACAGAATACTTGATAATGATTGCATTAGTCTGTTTTCACACTGCTATAAAGAACTATCTGAGAATGGGTAATTTATAACGAAAATATATTTAATTGACTCACATTTCTGCTTGGCTAGGGTGGCCTCAGGAAACTTACAATCATGACAGAAGGTGAAGGAGAAGCAAGCACCTTCTTCACAAGGCAGCAGAAGAGAGCGGGGGAAGTGCCACATTTTTAAATCATCAGAACTTGTGAAAACTCACTCACTATCACAAGAGCAGCATGGGGGAATCTGCTCCCATGATCTGATCTCCTCCCTCCAGGTCCCAGCCCTGACACATGGGGATTACAATTCAACATGAGATTTGGTTGGGGACACAGAAACAAACAATATCATTTTGCCCCGACCCCTCCCAAATCTCATGTCCTTCTCACATTTTAAAATACAATTATCCCTTCTCAACAGTAACCCAAAGGCTTAACTCATTCCAGCATTAACAAAAGTCCAAGTCCAGCGTCTTATCTGAGATAAGGTGAGTCCCTTCTGCTTATGAGCCTGTAAAATGAAAAAAACAAATTAGTTACTTCCAAGATACAATGGAAGTACAGGCATTGGGTAAATGCTTTCATTTCTAATGGGAGAAATTGGCCAAAACCAGGGGCTACAGACCCCCAAGCAAGTCTGAAACCCAGCAGGACAGTAGTTAAATCTTAAACCTCCAAAATAATCTCCTTTGACTCCAAGTCTCACATCAAGGGCATGCTGATGCAAGGGGTGGGTTCCCAAGGCCTAGGGCAGCTCCCTTTCTGTGGCTCTGCAGGATACAGCCCCCTTGGCTGCTTTCACAGGCTGGCGTTGAGTGCCTGTAGCTTTTCCAGGCTCATGGTGCAAGCTGTTGGTAAATCTACCTTTCTGGAGGCTGGAGGACAGTAGCCGTCTTCTCACAGCTCCACTAGGCAGTGCCCCAGTGGAGACTTTGTAGGGGTTCCAACCTCACATTTCCCCTCCACACTGACCTACTAGAAGCTTTTCATGAAGGCTCTGCCCCTGCAGCAGACTTCTACCTAGACATGCAGGTGTTTTCAGGCATCTTCTGAAATCTTCGTGGAGGTTTTTAAACTCTTGCCTTCTGTGCACCGTCAGGCCCAACACTACGTGGAAACCACCAAGGCTTGGGGCTTGCATCCTCTGAAACAGTGGCCCAATCTGCACCTTGGCCCCTTTTAGCCATGGCTGGAGTTGGAGTGGCTGGGATGCAGAACATCATATGCTGAGGCTGCACAAAACAGTAGGGCCCTGGGCTTAGCCCACAAAACAATATTTTTTTTAAATCCTAGGTTTCTAGGCCTGTGATGAGAGGGGCTGTCATAAACATCTCTGACATGCCCTGGAGACATTTTCCCTATTGTCTTGGCTATTAACATTCAGCTCCTCTTTACTTATGCAAATTTCTACAGCAGGCTTGAATTTCTCTCCGAAAAATGTTTTTTTTTCTTTTCCTACCACATGGTTGGTAGAAAACTTGTATACTCTGCTTCCCTTTTAAACAAAAGTTCTAATTTCAGAACATCTCTTTATGAACCCATGTGACTATATGTTCTTAGGAGCAGACACTTTACATCTTGAATGCTTTGCTGCTTAGAAATTTCTTCTACCAGGTACCTTAAATCATCTCTCAAGTCCAAAGTTCCAGAGATCTCTGGGGCAGGGGGAAAATGCCATCAGTCTCTTTGCTATATCATAACAAGAGTGAGTGACCTTTACTCCAGGTCCCAATAAGTTCCTCATCTCTATCTGAGAACACCTCAGCCTGGAATTCCCTGTCAATATCACTATCAGCATTTTGGTCATAACCAGTCAACAAGTCTCTAGGAAGTTTCAAACTTTCTGACATCTTTCTGTCTTCTGAGCCTTTCAAACTTTTCCAAACTTTGCCCATTACCCAGTTCCAAAGTCGCTTCCACATTTGCATGTATCTTTATAGCAGTATCCTACTTCTGGTACCAATTCTCTGTATTAGTTCATTTTCACACTGTTATAAAGAACTAACTGAGGCTGGGTAATTTATAAAGAAGAGGTTTAATTGATTCAGTTGTGACTGGGGAAGTCTCAGGAATCTTACATTCATGGCAGAAGGTATAACAGAAGCAAGCACCTTCTTCACAAGGCGGCAGGGAAGGGGTGGGGGGAAGTCGCATAATTTTAAACTATCAGATTTCATGAAAACTCACTGTCATGAGAGCTGCATGGAGTAAATCCGCCCCCATGATCCAATCACTTGTCACCATGCCTCTCCCTTGACACATGGGGATTACAATTTGACATGAGATTTGGGTGGGGACACAGAGCCAAACCATATCAATGATTAAACAATTATGTTACTGGTTTAGTATCTACTGAATTATACTTTTTGTTGTTATTTTAGAATGTACTCCTACTCCTTATTAAGAAAACAAAAGCTAACTGTAACACATCTGCTGACAGGTCCTTCAGGAATTATTCCAGAAGAAGGCATTATTATCCTAGGAGATGACAGCTCCATTCACGTTATTGCCCCTCAAGACCTTCCAGAGGGAAAAGACATGGAGCTAAAAG